>NC_000009.12:99735703-99887218 GCF_000001405.40 Homo sapiens | reverse complement strand
TACCTAAATATTTGTTCCCCTGTGTTTTTAAAATTCTGTTTAAGTTTAAATAAAGGAGCTATGATTTATAGCCTATCAGACGTTAGAAGATAAAATCTGCTATCCTGATTTTAAAAATCATACATATAAAAATTCATTTGAAATGAAATGAAATCTGTTCTGTAACTAAAAGTTACTTATAATGCTTGGATTACATTGCTAGATCAGAAGAAAGGAAGGTATAGAAAAGTCTGTATGTATTTCTGTGTTCAATCTGCCTTATCATTTGAAACTTACATTTTTAAACATTTGAAAGCAAGACAATATTTAAGAATTTGAAAAGTATTAAGGACACTTTTCTCTATTAAAAATTTCTCTTTAGAGATTGCTTTTAGGGCCAATTTACAAGACCCACAACTAAATTGTTTTTTTTTTAATTTTTTTTGGTTTATACGTATACCCTAATCTTTGCATTCCTCTTTCCCTCTACCCCGTCCTTCAATTGACTAGGTGATCAAAGTTTATCTCTTTTTGTTTCTGATAGAACCGACTGTTTCTGGAAAAGGTAAACATCTATTCTCCAAAGGGCAGTGACTTTCTACCTGTGAAAATAAAAAGTAAACTTCAGAAGAAAATTCTGAAAGAGGAATTTAGAGATGTTCCAAATAAAGGCAATATAGTTTCACTGGAACTGAAATGTTGCCTTCCAATTCTACTACAGAAGGCAGAGTGGCACATGTGGCACCTGGTCAGGATGGACTCACTAAAGGATTTAACCCAGACTTCTGATCAACAAATATTGCTGCTACATTAACTGATTCGCAACAAAGAAAGAAAATATCATCCAGTTGATTTTATTATTTAAATATGGGCTCAAATCTTAAATCTGACAAACTAATAAATAAATATGTCTGAAAAGTAAATAGTAAATGGTGAACTGGTATGGCTGAGGCATTTGTACTGAACCCATGCTGCTTCCTGGAGATCACTGCATTCTTTTCTGTGCTCAGTAATCTACTTAAACTATGTCAGAGATTCGCCTGAGACTTACTTTCCTGTCCTTTCTGGCTCATATTATTTCTTTATTTAGAAAATCAGAACATTTGTTTGTTTTTAGGGTTCAAGCACCTCTTCTCATCTCTATAATGTCTCCAAATGTCTCAGAGGATCCCTAACACTATCTGTGTTTCTTGCACATTATGGTATAATTTATCTGTGTCTAGAGATCTGAAGTCAGGCAAAGTAGTTAAGGGCACTCTTTCTTCTTCCTCATGTATCTTGAGACACAGTTCTCTGCTCTTGTGGTTTGTCTGACCCTTTTGAGTTCCTGTTATGCTTCCATTTGCACCAGAAGACAATGGAAATCAAGTGAAATTAAATATAAAATGTCAGAACTAGAAACGCTATTAGATCAAGTTTAGATAAAGAAATGAGAGGGATTTAATCTGCTTTGTTCCTTACTAAGACATGTACATGGGGCTGTATCCAAGATAAAGCTATGAAACACTTGAAACACTAACTCCCCTTGTACTGAGTCTATGCTTATGTGCAACAGACTTTTGATAGTAATTTGGCTTTCTGTGTAGATCCACCTATAGATAAAAAAAAATACTTACCGGAAGATCCAAGACCCAGTTATAAGTTAATAGATGAACTTCTAATTTATACATCAGAGCTTGTTAGTGGATGTCTATCTGGGGGTCGGAGAGAGGGAGAGATTGATCCACTGTCATTATGCTGCTACATCAGGTTCCTGAGATATAGCCCTTGGAACATGGAGATCACACCAGGGTACTGCCCCTTCAAAGCCTCTTTGGGCACCTAGCAACCCTTCTCCATGGTGTACTTTGACTCCATCTTGTTGCTAGTTGTCCACAAATGCCTGTTCTGTGAGATGGTCCACCTCTTGGTTTGTAAGGCCAGACAGACATAAGCACAGCTACTTCTCAAGAGGCTGTTACTGACCACAATAGGTCTTTTCTGTTTTGTTTTGTTTTGTTTTGTTTTGAGACAGAGTCTCACTCTGTTGCCCAGGTTGGAGTGCAGTGGTACGATCTTGGCTCACTGCAACCTCTGCCTTCTGGGTTCAAGCAGTTCTCCTGCCTCAGCCTCTGAGTAGCTGGGATTACAGGCGCCCACCACCATGGCCAGCTAATTTTTTTTTTTTTTTATTTTTTTAGTACAGATGGGGTTTCACCATGTTGGTCAGGCTGGTCTTGAACTCCTGACCTCAAGTGATCCAACTGCCTCAGCCTCCCAAAGTGCTGAGATTACAGGTGTGAGCCACCGCGCTCGGTTGGTTTTTTCTTCCTAAAGGCAAAACCCAGAATCTTTCCACCTGTTAACACCTGTAAATCTTCTGAAATACTCCTTGAAACAAAGACTGCTGTTTCTTCTTTAAACGTATGACATGAAAATCCATTTTTACAACGATGCAGTGAAATATGCAGCTATGTGGAAAGCTTCAAGGATAAAGAATGATTACAATAGACTTCATTCAAAACTTTTTAGGGATTCTTCAAATAATGATATCTAATTGGAGAGTCTGATACATGTTCCAAGGCTGAATCCTGGGCCTTTATAGCAACCAGAAAAAAAAAAAAAAAAACGATTGAAAATGCCTAAAAGCTCTAACACCCACTTTAAAAAATGCTTTGAAATTATAATTATTGAAAAAATACTATTTGGAACTATATCATGATTAAGAAAGCATCAGAAAATAAAGTAGCTTGGCAATTTTGAGTTACTCTCCAACTAAAAAAATCTGTTTAATGGACTTTGAAATGATTTTGTATTTGTGTTTAAAAAATATGCATCTCTATCCAGGTTGACAGCTTAAGTACCAGGCTCTAGCCAAACACAATCTGAAGTGACTAAGGCATTGCTTCTTAAATAAGAGCAAATTGGAACTGCCATTTCAAATCACTACCATGTCTTCTGGCAAGACTAGATTAGCACTCACACTCACATCTGATGAGGGAGTCACCTCAAGATTGCAAACAGCCAATTTGGATTACCCAGCAAGGGCATGTTAAAACCAGCAAAGGGTTGCCAGGCCTCTGTTCTTTGGCCAGCCTATATAGAATGGAGAATTTTGTAGAAGTGATGTGTTCAACACTTGGACACGTTTAAGAAGACAGCTTGAGTCTAGTTTCTTTGGTCCCTAGGCCAGCTCAAAATAACCAGGCACATGCCCTTGCTGACCTCTAAAGGCAGGTCACTCTTAAAGTAAGAGTCTTACTGGCTCTTGCTTGACATCTCTTCTTTGTTTCATTCTGCTACCTGACTTTGGTTCTGCTTCTGGCCCTTTGGAATTGGTGTTTGAACTTGGTCTCTGTTCTTTAGGCCCTGGATTTTCCTAACAGATTCCAATTGGGTTTATCCTGCTGGCTGTCTATGAGCTAGGCTACCCTACTTCTTGCCCTTCTGAGGCTAACTTCCAGCATAGTCCACTTGGCTGACTGGTTCTTCTCTGTGTCTGCAAGAGTATATGTGAGTGTTTGGTGGAGAGGGGAATAGGATGTATGCTCAATTTGAATAATCACTCACTAAAATGAGAGAGAGAGAGAGAGAGAGAGAGATCTAAACATGGGGAGTAGAAAGTAATACAATTGCTTCTCCTTATTGACTATCCTTAGGTTTGAGGTAAATTCTTAATTAGGTATTTAGTTCCCTCCCAAGTATTTTATCACAGGCCTCAGATTCTGCTGCCACCTGGTGCTAAAATGTTCTAGGTAGTGATGACTAAATAGTTTGACAAACTCCAAGAAGTATCACCTAGATTCAGAGATAACATACTAATTAGGAGGCTGGATATTTAACATAGTAAGTAAAAGATATAACATAAAAAAAAAACAAGAATAGCTTAGTGTAATACATAATGAATATGTTATACTTATAAACAGATATATAAGATGTAATAATAGTAGATTACTATATAGTTCTGAGCTATCACTATCTCTTAGAAGTATGGTCCATGTCAGGGCCAGGTGCAGTGGCTCAGGCCTATAAGATCCCAGCCCTTTGGGAGGCTGAGGCAGGCGGATCACCTGAGGTCAGGAGTTCAAGACCAGCCTGGCCAACGTGGCAAAACCCCGTCTCTAAAAAAAAAAATATATATATATGTATATATATATATATATATGTGTGTGTGTGTGTGTGTGTGTATATATATGTATGTATGTATATATATACACACTGTACACACACACACAAAATAAATTAGCTGGGCATGGTGGCACACGCCTGTAGTCCCAGCTACTTGGGAGGCTGAGGTAACAGAAACGCTTGAACCCAGGAGGTGGAGGTTGCAGTGAGCTGAGATCGTGCCACTGTACTCCAGCCTGGGCAACAGAGTGAGACTCTGTTTCAAAAAAAGAAAAAGAAAAAGAAAGAAATAAAAGAAGTATGGTCTATGTCTAATCCCCATTTGAGCTGTCACTTCCAAATATGACAGAATGCTTAGTGTTAATACACATTAACAGCAAATAATTTCACTTAATGGCCTCCCTAACTGAAAAAAGTTTTCTGCCAGCTTCTAAATTAAGATTGGTTAATTTTGCCCAAGGTTTATTTATATTTCACAGAAATTATTTTTTTCTTTTGTGGAGTTTATTGATCTGCCATTTCTCCCCAGTCTTCATTTTGCCACCATTTTTCTCTATTGCTCCTCCAAGCAGGGTCTGTTTCCATTGCTTCTGGTTTTTCCAAAATTGTTTTGTTTCTATTCTTTAACTCTCTGTCCTGTGAGATTTTCATATTCCCGGTGATTACATATCATCCACCCAATCTTTCCCAGTGTAACTTTTACAGAAAGACTGTCCTATTGGACTCCTAAATACAGCAATACCTTACTCATTTGGCTTTTGAGTCCCAACTATTGAGGGACATAAGAAGAATTTTTCCAAGGTTCAGGCAAAAGAGAAATTCAGTAGGACCATTCATCTAAGACAGATAGTATTTTCCAGAGATGATCAAAAGAATAATTCCCACTCCACATGCTTTTTTTTTTTTTTTTTTTTTTACACAATATGACTTCTGTTCTGTTTTCATAGAGAAGTGGAATCTAAACTCTCTTCCCTAGAATCTGGGTGGGTTTGTGACTTTGGAAGAAGTGATGCTGTGTGACTTCACTTAGATGTGACTTAGGTTAGATGATAAAAAGTGATAAAGTTTCACCACCACCAAGCTGTGAGGAAAACCAAAGTAGCTCATACAGAGACACCACATGGAGAGGCCACTGTATTTTTTCCAGCTGACAGCTCAACTGAAGTCCCAGCCACAGCCAGCATCAACTGCAAAGACACCTCCAGATGACTGCAACCCCAGCCATCAAGTCATTCCCAGCCTTCAAGCCTTCCCAGCTGAGGCCCAGACATCAGAGAAGGTAAACAAGCCACCTCTGCTGTGCTCTGTTCACATTCCTGATCCACAGAAACCATGAGGACAATAAGATTGTTGTTTTATGCCACTAAGTTTTTAGAGTGGTTTGTTACATAGCAAGAACAATAGAAATGGTATCATATTTAGTATGTTCCTCACAAATTGTGAGCAAGTATCCCAAGATGGGTGCAGAGCCCAACTTCCTTCTAGTTCATATGTAAGTTTCTTGTCATCCTGAGGCATTTTTTGAATAAAAAAATTAATTCAAGATGGATTAAAGACTTAAATGTTAGACCTAAAACCATAAAAACCCTAGAAGAAAACCTAGGCAATACCATTCAGGACATAGGCACGGGCAAGGACTTCATGTCTGAAACACCAAAAGCAATGGCAACAAAAGCCAAAATAGACAAATGGGATCTAATTAAACTAAAGAGCTTCTGCACACCAAAAGAAACTATCATCAGAGTGAACAGGCCACCTACAGAATGGGAGAAAATTTTTGCAAACTACTTATCTGACAAAGGGCTAATATCCAGAATCTACAAAGAACTCAAACAAATTTACAAGAAAAAAACGAACAACCCCATCAAAAAGTGGGTGAAGGATATGAACAGACACTTCTCAAAAGAAGACATTTATGCAGGCAACAGGCACATGAAAAAATGCTCATCGTCACTGGCCATCAGAGAAATGCAAATCAAAACCACAGTGAGATACCATCTCACACCAGTTAGAATGGCGATCATTAAAAAGTCAGGAAACAACAGGTGCTGGAGAGGTTGTGGAGAAATAGGAACACTTTTACACTGTTGGTGGGCGTGTAAACTAGTTCAACCATTGTGGAAGACAGTGTGGCGATTCCTCAAGGATCTAGAACTGGAAATACCATTTGACCCAGCCATCCCATTACTGGGTATATACCCAAAGGATTATAAATCATGCTGCTATAAAGACACATGCACACGTATGTTTATTGTGGCACTATTCACAATAGCAAAGACTTGGAACCAACCCAAATGTCCATCAATGATAGACTGGATTAAGAAAATGTGGCACATATACACCATGGAATACTATGCAGCCATAAAAAATGATGAGTTCATGTCCTTTGTAGGGACATGGATGAAGCTGGAAACCATCATTCTCAGCAAACTTTCGCAAGGACAAAAAACCAAACACCGCATGTTCTCACTTATAGGTGGGAATTGAACAATGAGAACACTTGGGCACAGGAAGGGGAACATCACACACCGGGGCCTGTCGTGAGGTGGGGGAAGGGGGGAGGGGTAGCATTAGGAGATATACCTACTGTAAATGACGAGTTAATGGGTGCAGCACACCAACATGGCACATGTATACATATGTAACAAACCTGCATGTTGTGCACATGTACCCTAGAACTTAAAAGTATAAAAAAAAAAGGCAAAAGTGAAGCCGTTGTCATTACTGTCTTAAGGTTGCTGTAGTCAGATGTGGTGACGGACAGATTCAGAGGAGTCCAGTGGGTCCATCTTGGTCCTCTCCCATTTGCATTTAAACATGTCTTTTCCATCTTTAAAAATCTCTCCTTTAACCTCATGTCTCCTTCCATACTACCTTCTTTTCTTTCATGCTAACTGTGTCCGTTTTCATTTTTCTACTCTATCTTCTGCTATGGGTCTCTGCCACCTCCTTACCCCTAAAACTGTTCTCACCGTTCTTCCCACATACCCATTATTTCTGGATATCTATTACTATCATATGCCGATGGCTCTCAAGACTATATCTACTGGCAGGGCGCAGTGTCTCACACATGTTACCTCAGCACTTTGGGAGACCAAGCCGGTCGGATGGCTTGAACTCAGGAGTTTGAGACCAGCCTGGGCGACACAATGAAACCTCGTCTTTACTAAAAATTCAAAAATTAGCCAGGTAGTGGTGACATGCGCCTGTGGTCCCAGCTACTTAGAAGGCTGAGGCAGGAGGATTGCTTGAGCCCAGGAGTTTGAGACTGCAGTGAGCTGTGATTGTGCCACTCCACTCCAGCCTGTGCAACAGAGTGAGGCCCTGTCTTAAAAAAAAGAGAGAGAGAAAGAGAATATATCTACCCAGATGTCTCCTCTGAGTTTCATACTTTCATATCTAATGATCTCTACCTCTACCTGGGTGGCAGACAAGTGCTTAAACTCAGAATGTTCATAATTAAACTCATCATATTTCCAGTCAAAACTGTACCTTCTTCATATCTCAGCAAATAGCACCATCATCCACTCAGGTTTCCAAACCAGAAATCAGGTTCGAAAATTCCCATGTGTCTCCCTCCCACTGTCACTTTCCTAGTTGAGGTTTCCTTTATCTCTGGCCTGGAAGAATGCAGTAGTCATTCTTCCTGAAGTGAAGATCCCATTGTATAATACAATGAGAAGCTACCATACAAACATTATGGTTTATCTTTAGTACAGACCCATATTATTACATGGGTTATTGCCTACTCTGAGAATGTGGGCAACAAATCCATTTTATGGGAATAGTTGCAACCAATAATGGTCTAAGAGGAACAAAAGGAAAACACATTTGCACAACAGTGGATATTTTCAGTGTGTTAGACCTGGTGGCAATGCTGTCCACTTCACAAATATTTATAATTTCCTACCATGCACTAGGAACTGTGCCTGCAGGAGAAGCTTCCAAGGCATTGATTCACTGTGTACTTTTTTTCTGGGTCCAGCACTATGTGACATGCAGAGGATCCAAAAATGAAAAATTCATGGTCTCTATTCCTAAGGGACACTCAACTTTCTTCAGTCACTACCCATGTTGAATGATGTCCCAGATGGTCCCACCTAATGCTGAGGTCCTTCTATAGACAGTGTGGCAGTGAAGTTCCTTTTGTGGACTTTTATTTTTAGAGAGTAAATTATATGCAGAGGGAGAAAAAGTTTCCCATTTCAAAGTCAAACTAGAGACACGTGGAGACTGTTGTCTAGATGCAAGGATTCTTTTCCAGTGACACACAGGAACCACCTCCTTGAGACCTGAATTAAATTGCGAGCAATTTCAGTAATGAATTCAGCCTTGGGCTCAGCCCATTCCCAGAACCTCTGGCTTAATTATGAGAAGAAAACCTATTTATTCTGGGACATCACCACTTTGGGAAAAATTCCTGGAAGCCATCAGAAAAGCAAAGGGAAGATCTTTCTCAGAGTCTCTTCTCTGAATTTCTGAGAAAGAAGCGTTTCATGTTTGGCCTGTCAAGTTGCTTTTAGTTTCAGCCCATGGATTTGCCCCTTATTTAATTATCTCTGAACTTAGGTGTCTCTGTCCATCCAAAGGCCTAGGTCACCTGTGGGAGACTAAGTCAACCTTTCTTGGGCCTTCCTCAGATACCATCTTCCTCTGAGCACATTCTTCATATTATAAGTTACAAAATACAGTAAGAAAAATACTAATATGTATACAGTACTTTACATTTTACTAAACTCTTTTCAGGTGTTTTAGTTCACTTAATTCTAATAGCAACCAAGAAAGGTGCAGATATAAGGAATCTGAGCCTCAGAGAAAAGTAACCTGTCCATTTCATCATGCTACTGAGAATGAAAAAAAGAAAGTAACCTATTCATGATCACACAGCTATTGCATGAGAGACCTCACTAAGAACCAAGATATTGTAACTCCTATCTTCTTTCCACCTTTTCTCCCTATATCTGTCCAGGGGCCAAAGTAATTTCTATATCTGATCTACTTCAAAATTATTATGAAAACTGAGTAAACTATGTGATACTGGGAGTCAAGGAATACTGATGTCTGTCCTGGGACTAGCTTGGTTTTGGGGACCCATTGAGGCCCCTATAAGCCAGGGTCCCAAGGGGACCTATGAAGAACAAGGAAAGGCAAGGAAAGCTCCCCTGAGGTGGTGGTTCGCAAACTTGGCCACACATTGAAAAGATCCCAGGAGCTTTAAGCCTTGGTTTCAGCCCCAGAGATTCTGATTCAGTTCGAAAGTCTTGGGGGAAGCCTTTCCATTTAGACGTTTTAAAATCTCCGCAGGTGATACTATAATACTATGCAGCCAAGATTCACTAACATTGCCTGAGGGCACCCACAGTTTCTTTGTAGGGCTTGGGGACTCATTCTTTCTCTTTTCTATATGCTTATTACACTAGTTATATTTAGTCATTGAATAAAATCTAGAAAATACTGATTAATTTTTGGAGGGTAATCATAATTATTCCACAGAGAAATAAATTTTGTTAACAATTGACTGTATATCTTTCCAGGATTTGTCTACATACATACACATAAATAAATAATCCTATGCTTTTTATTTAATCAAAAATGATATACATACTGCTGTATAATATGCCTTTTATCTTTGACTTTTTTTTTCCATATCAACAAATTCAAATTAAGGCTATTTTCAAAGACTTCATAGTATTCCATTGTGTGACTGTACCTCACTGAACCTCTAATAACAAAGAGGAGTTTTCTTTTTATCCCCGTATCTGTTTCCCTTCCAAGGAGATGCTTGAAATCCTAGAATCTAGTAGGGAGGATCAGATTTTGTCAATCCTCTTGGCTTCTGCGCCATTTCAAATTTATCCGGAAGATTTACAGTTAATCAAACAATATACTAATTTGGGAAAATTGGTTTTTGGAGGAAAGTTTGGAAACTACTATTAATACCCAAGCCCTAATAATCTTAGAGAATGAAAGAAACTGAGGGTTCTACAGCTCTCAAAATTCCAACTTGTCTTCAGTTGTTTGAGGTCCTTTCTCAAAATTGTTTAAGTCTAGTCAGTTACCTGGGTAAGTTCATTAAGGGAGTCTATGACATAATGCTAAAGATAATAACAACAATTAGCACTTGCATAGCACTTTAAAGTGAATGATTCTAACATAAAACCAATATGAACTAACTACCGTTCATTAAGTATCCTTCTAGAGAATCAATGTGCCAGGCACTGAACTAGGCACTTAACATAGTCTTCTATTTGATATCTGTCATAAAGTCTATACACAGTGGTATTATTATTTCAGTTTTACAGATAAGACAGCTGAGGCTCAGTGAATTGCCTGAGCTCACTTATTAAAACTAGACTGTAAACATGTATTGTGTCATGGTTTTACACAGCATTATATCTCAGAATCTGGTTCAGTGCTTTGCACTGTGCCTAGGAGAAGGTAGGGACTCTATACATAATTGATGGATGAAGGAATAATTAAATCACTAGCTGTTTCTTTAATTCATATTGCCTCTGGGTGATGCAGAGATGCTCTACCCAGAGAAGACTTGCTTCCTATTTCCATCCTCCAGCAATAATTCATATAGTAATGATTTGGTGGCTGATATGGTTTGACTCTGTGTCCCCATGCAAATCTCATCTTGAATTGTAATCCCCACATGTTGGGGGAGGAGCCTGGTAAGAGGTGATTGAATCATGGGGTGAACTTCCCCCTTGCTGTTCTCATAATAGTGAGTGAGTTCTTATGAGAGCTAGTTGTTTGAAGGTGTGTGGCACTTCCCCCTTCTCGCTCTCTCTCCTGCTCCGCCATGGTAAAGATGTGCTTGCTTCCCCTTTGCCTTCTGCCATGATTGTAAGTTTCCTGAGGCTTAACCATGCTTCCTGTGAAGCCTGCAGAACTGTAAGTCAATTAAACCTCTTTTCTTCATAAATTACCCAGTCTCAGATGATTCTTTATAGCAGTGTGAAAACAGACTAATACAGTGGTTTATGGAAATGTGCCTTCAGTCTTTACATTCTCTAGGGTAATGGTTCTCCAAATGTGGTCCCCTTCCCAACAAATTCATGGACTCCACTTCAGGCAACCAAATCAGAATCTCTGGTCACGAATATCAAGAAACTGTTTTAATAAGCTTTTCACATGTGATCCGAGCACTTTGGGAGACCGAGGTGGGCTGATCACAAGGTCAAGAGATCAAGACCATCCTGGCCAACATGGTGAAACCCCATCTCTACTAAAAATACAAAAATTAGCTGGGAGTGGGTGGTGCACGCCTGTAGTCCCAGCTACTTGGGAGGCTGAGGCAGGAGAATTGCTTGAACCCAGGAGGCAGAGGTTGCAGTGAGCTGAGATCGCAGCACTGCACCCCAGCCTGGCAATGGAGTGAGACTCCGTCTCAAAATAATTATAATAATAACAAGCTTTTCAGATGATTCCAATGAACATTAAAGATGAACATTGAAGTTTGAGGACTTAATAAATAAATGGCCTTTCTGTCCTGAGACTCATAGTAGTAGTTTAGCCTGGATGATTGGATGGAAGAGCCATTTACAGAGATTGGGGAAACAAATGGAAGAGCAAGTTTGGAAGGAGGTCATGAATTTGGGTCTGGTGTGTTTAATTTGAAGTACTTTTGGGATATCCAGGTGAAGGTATCTGGAGGCATCTGGAGCCTTGAGGTCTGGAGCTCAGAAGACAGGACTGAGTCGGAGATACAGATTTGGGAGTGGTAATTGGAGCCATGAATAAGACTGCTCAGGAGAATGGGAAGCATTAGTTTACCCTAGATAATAGCATTATTTTAAGAGAGTTGGGGAGGGGTCCTGAGAGAATGAAGAATCTGAGGACAGTCATTCTTCCTTGTGAGTGACTTGCATTGGAATGTTTGTCTCATCTTCTCCTCTGGATTATAAGCTCCTTAAAGGCAGGGACTGTGTAAACTTTAATAAGTCCCTCAAACAAAAGTACATTGCTGCACAGGCTGTGAATAATCAGTGAATTCCTTCCAGGATTCTGCTTTGCAGAAATCCAATGTGATCAGAGCCACCAGCAAGATGTTTTCCCAAAAATCACTTCTATCATTTCCCAATGGACAGTATGGCAGATTAAAAATAAGTGAATAAATAAAGGGTATCATGTGTAATCCACTGATATCTATGCTAATCACATTAATCAGAGTGAATTAATTATACCTGAAAACAGATGCAAAGTTAAATTCCTCAGAAAATCAATTCATTAAACTCATATTGGAATGCACAGTCAACAACCCCCATGTTTAGAAACTATCAGCATGATTTGTGGCAACTTCTGATTTACTAACGAAACTGCTTAAAACATTTTTAAAGGCAATTACAATTACTGTCTGGCATTTGATGGAAAGAAATCTTGTCAGCATTGTCCCTTGTGTGTCAACTGTCACAATTTTCTAAAAATTTTGAGGGGAAAAATAGGCAGGCTCTACTATTTGCTAGCCTCGATTAGGGTTAATTCAATGTGTGTCTGCAAATAATAGTGTTTAATGTAATCTCTCTAATTACAGATAAAACGCATTTTCAGTCATGCTCATCACTGACAGTATTTTGGGATAAGTTAAACTGACAGCTGCTTTCCGAAGGAAAGGAAAAAAACAAACCTTCCTTGGGGTTGTGTTGATTTTCTCTCTCTCTCTCCGCCCCACCCCCCTTTCTTTTACATTAAAGTTGAGAAAAAGATGAAACTTGATTCTTTGGCTCTGGATACCAATTTTGGAAATTATGACATCATCTATTTCTTGGGAATTTGACATGTTTTCCAGCTCCTACTCCCATCAACGAATATCTAACTTGAATTCACTCAGCAAGCATTTTCTAAGGGTTTCCAGTGAACCAAATATTGTGCTAGGCAGTAAGGGAATCAAGAAGGAATGATTCTACCAAACCTGCCCCCTGCAATTGGCCCCATGAGTCAAGTCAAGCTTCCTCCTATACCAGACTTGATAGTCATAGAGCCCTTTTATTCTCAGTCCCTCCAGAGTGAAACTATTCAAGTCACAATATTTTCTGAAGGACCACAGCTGACTGGATCAGGGACTACCCAAGGACAGCTACTCCTCAGATTGTCCAGGCATCTGTAATGTGGCCTCGCATGACAAATTGAGCCAGATCAGTCAGATTTTCTTTCTCAGGAATAGAAATTGGAAAATACTAGATGAGGTGGTTAGGGGTGAAGGTGAAATTAGAAGGCAGTAAGAGAAAAACTACACAATAGAAAGAATTAAGACCTTGAGAGGGCAGGCATCATTGGGTCTATGAGACTATGAGGAAGCCGAAACACAGGGCCTAGTTTAAGGTTGAATGAATCAAAGGATGAATAAATAAACAAATAATTGTGACCTAAGATGTCTTTGGCTTTTTTTGGTAGCCTCAAAACATGAGTGATTCACGCTGAGTCACTATCCTTGATACTCCTGACTATTTTTTCACCTATGCTGTAGATGAACCATGTTTCTTGCATACTGTGTGTCTCAGCTGGGATACAATTCAGCTTTGAGTAATGGAAAAACTCAAAATAACAGTGGTTTAACAAGGAGTTTATTTTTTTTCTCATGAAAAGCCTACTTACGTGCAATCCAGCTCAGATAGGGTTGCTCTGCTCCGTAAAATCCTCAAGGCTGATTCCTTCCAACTTCCTTTGCTACAGTTCTTAGGAGGTACCCTTATCTCCATAGTCTAAAGTGGCATCCACGTTCCAGATAAAAGGATGGAGAGATGGATGAAGAAGAAGGGGTAGAAGTCACCAGCCATCACTTAAGATAGTTTTCTAGAACCTGGGAAAGTCTTATTCATGATGTTTGGGTGGAAATTTTGGAAAAGATCTGAATTCTACTTCCAGAGCAACACCAGAAGCAGAGATGACACCAGTGGTACAGAAAAAAAAAAAAATTGTTAATATCAAACAGAATTGGAAGCCTGAAGCCAGAGCTAATATAAAAGTTGGCAGAATTTACAGATATCTTGAGGAGGACTTTCAACCTCCCTCTCTGTGGAATAAAGTGTTTAAAACAATCCCTTCTGGATCCTAAGGAAAAGAGGCCCCAGCAACCTATGGGTTACAATATAAATGAGACATATTCCAAGACCAACCCTGCATCTAAGCCATCCTAAAATGTCACCTATCATGATACCACCGTTGACTCTCTCCAAGTTGAAATTTTCATATGTAGAGCCACTCTCTGGAGCCAGATAGTAGTGATGTTGTCACTAGAAGGCTATTGTCCAATGCCTTCTGGAAGACAGAGAGGCATATAAAACATAGTGCCCAGATTTCTAGCCCTCAAGATGGTAGAAATTACACCATTTCAGAAGTGGGGGAGCTGGAAAAGAAAGGAAAGGAAAGCTAGTTCTGAAAAGTAAGAGGTTGTTTTGAGTATATTGACTTTGTTCTGCAAAAAGTGAGATATAAAGCACAGTAAGATGCCATTTTATAACCACTGGATTCACAATAAAAAATTCTGGGCCAGGCATGGTGGCTTATGCCTGTAATCCCAGCACTTTGGGAGGCTGAGGCGGGTGGATCACCTGAGGTCGAGAGTTCAAGACCAGCCTGACCAACATGGTGAACCATCTCTACTAAAAATACAAAATTAGCTGGGCATAGTGTTGCATGCCTATAATCCCAGCTACTTGGGAGGCTGAGGCAGGAGAATCGCTTGAACCCGGGAGGTGGAAGTTGTGGTGAGCCGAGATCGTGGCATTGCGCTCCAGCCTAGGCAACAATTGTGAAACTCTGTCTCAAAAAAAAAAAAAAAAAAATTCTGATGAATCCAACTCTTGAGGAAGATGTAGAACAGTAGGAATTCTTATTGTTGGTGAGAGTGTAAATTGGTGCAATGCTTCTGAAGAAAATTAATATATCTAGTAAAGGAAACAACATGTATGCCACATATCCTACCAACTCTACTTCTTGGTTGGCCTACAGCTGTGGGTCTCAAACTTTGGTATGCATCATAATTACCTGGAGGGCTTCTAAAATGCAGATTGCTGGGCCCTCCCTCAGAGTTTCTGATTCAGTAACTCTGGAGTGGGGCCTGAGAATCTGCGTTTAGTAAGGTCCCAGGTGATGCTGATACTGCTGATCCTAGGACTACACTTTGAAAACCCCCAGCCTAGGGAAATTATTTCCTGTGTTTATTAGGAGATGTATACAAAAATTTCATAACATCATAGCTAGTAATAGCAAGAACCTGGAAACAACTTAAATATCCCTTGACAGGAAAGTGAATAGAGAAATTATACTGTATTAAGAGAGGTACTACAGAGGAGAGAAAATTAGTGAATTAGAGCATACAACATCATAGATAAAACAAGTTGCAAAAGAATATATGCTTTATGATACTAAATACAAAACTCAAAGACATGTAAATTTAAACAAGAAATTGTTTAGGAATATATACATATATAATGATAAACCAAAATTCAGAATGGTGGAGGGAAGAGGGAAATGGGATTGGGGAGGCACAGGGATTCTGATAGTTCTTGAGTTGGGTAGTAAGCTCAAATATGTTTGTTCTGTTATTCTTTCACATGTATAAAATATGTAACAATTATTTTGTGCTTTAAAATCAGTTTCATAGAGTGTGGTGGCTCACGCTTGTAATCTCAACACTTTTGGAGGCCAAGACAGGTGAATCACTTGAGCCCAGGAGTTTGAGACCAACCTGGGCAACATGGTGAAACCCCTTCTCTAAAAAAAAAAAAAAAAAAATACAAAAATGAGGTGGGCGTGGTTGCTTGTGCCTGTAGTCCTAGCTACCTGAGAGGCTGAGATGTGAGGATTACTTGAGCTCAGAAGGTCAAGGCTGCAATGGGCCATGATTGCACCATTGCTCTCCAGCCTGGGTGACAGAGTGAGACCCTGTCTCAAAAATATAAAATAAAATCAATTTCACTTTTGTATGTATGAAATATTTCACTTTTTTCTTTTTCATCAGTTATATATTTTCAACTTCATATTCTTTTAGTTTCCCATAGAATCTTCACAATGTGAAAAGCAAAAATAAAAATATAAAGATGTATCTTTTTTTTTAAAATAAGGAAAAATCCCCTGAATATGTATATATGGACAAGGAAGCATGTAAGCAGCTATGTTAGGGTAGTGTGTGTGTGCGTGTGTGTGTGTGTGTATGTGTATTTATACTTAAAATACCTTTATGTGGTTCTGAGCAATTGATTAAAAACTGGAGAAAATCAGCAAAGGATGAAAGGGCTGGGGGGAAGAAACTATGGTTTTAGGAACAAAAGGTAGAAAGTGTATTTGTGGACATGTAAATTCAAAGGGCAAGATGGAGGCCAGGCTGCCAGGAAGGGAATGGCTCTGAGATGAGCAAGAATTGCCTGCTTCTCTGCATTTGTTTCAGCATCTTTTCTCAGGGATAAAAAAGGCAGATCTGGGGGGTGATGGCTTTGTGGGGTTTATGAAAGTAACCAGAAGGAGACAGAGCTGTGGTTGTAGAGTCCAAAGGAGAACAACTTGGAAGATGTGGACTACAGAGCCTGAGTGGAAGTTTTAAATCACCTGGAAATTGGGAGGTTGGCTGGAAGCAGAAAAGAGTCATGAAGGGTTGAATGTTTGAAGCCCACTCTGAGGATAGGGAATGTTTGTGTTTAGAGATGAAAGGACTAGAAAGGGATTCCAAAAGTGGAGCAGGGCCTCGTTATTACAAGGCTCAGTGGGACTGAGGCTGGTGACGGACAAGCTTTGAGTAATGTGGGGACAATGATGGGGACTGTTGAGTCAAGAAGTCTGAAGAATTCACAAGACGGGTGATACGTCTGGCAGACAGGAATGATGAAGCTGAGTCAGAGTTTTGGATGGTAGCTGCATTGCTCGGGTAGAGTTCTCACCATTGCTGATGAGCAAGGAACTGAGATTAGAGGACCCCTGTGTTCTGGGAAGGAATGGGGGTCTAATCACAGCTCCATGAATGCAGCTGGGGGCAGTAGAGCCATATTGACCTGTGTTCAAATCCACTTACTAGCTGTGAGGTCCTGCTGCTAAATACTTAACCTCTTCTGGCCTCTTTCCCCATTTTCAGACAGATGATATCACCTCCTTCCTAGAAGTAGTAACCATTTAATGAGAGCATAGATGAAAGGGTTTACTAGAATATCTGGCACACACCATAGATTATTAATAAATGTTAGTGAGACAAAGCAGGGGTCCTTCTTAGGGGCCTAATAGGCCCCCCAAGCATGGAAATAAGGGAAAAATCTTGAATCTCTTCAAAGGAAATTCCAGGCACCCAGCTATCCCTGAGAAATAAATAAGCAATCCCATAAGCAAAAAAAAAAAAAAAAAAGGAATAGCATAAACAATAATCTCAAGCAAGTTATAGTCACAAGGTGTTTTAGTTCCTTCTAGAAACTAAAAGATAACACCGTAACATATGTTCTTGAGTTGTTTATTAGAAACCAAGACTCCCACTGATGAAAAAATGCTGGCCATTGTCAGGGAGACCTTAGATAAAGGGGACCTGAAGATTGAACACTGACCACCATTCTTTCTTCTAAATTTCTTCCTGTGGGACCTGGATAAGAGTCACACCCACAGGCCAAACATTAACCTTACTTTCTGCTGAACCCAAGTTTTTAGACAAAACCTTCTTTCCTTAACCAATTGCAAATCAAAGAATTTCTGAATCCACCCAATGACCTGTAAGCTCCCACTTCAAGATAGCTCATCTTTTCAGGCCAAACCAATGTATAACATCCATGTTGGACTCACGATTTTGCCTGTAACTTCTGCTTTCCTGAAATGTACCCCTGCCTTCAAAAACCTTTGCTTGGAAGCCATCAGGGAATCAGGGTCTTAAGTGTTAATTGCCCGATCCCCTTGCTTGGCACCCTGCAATAAATGCCTCACTTTCTATCACTGCAAATCCCAGTGTCAGTGTTTGGCTTTTTCTGTGCACTGAGTGAGCAGATCAGAGTTTTGTTTAGTAACATTAGGTCTGTCTTCTCTTCCCCTCAAATCAAGTACCCTTAGAGGCCCAGCATGGGGATGGCCAGCATCACAGGAGGTAATCAGAGAAGGGGCTGATGATCCCTGAGCTCACTGATGGAGCCATGAAATGAGTCAGACAGAGACAGAAAAACTAAAACAGGAAGGACAGTGCACTTGCAACAAAAGCCAAACAAAACAAGCATTGCCCATGTCAGTGTCACAGTGCAACTCAGAGACAACCTTGAGGAAGACTTTGCTGAAGCATTTCGTGAAGAATTTTGTACATCGTGAGGGATGGTAAATAATAGAAGGTGCAAAAACCTCTTTGAAACTGATGGGATTTTCAACTGGTTGGGCAAAGGATGGGCCTTCTTAGAGAAGATTGTTCAGAAAAGATGATGAACTACTTAAGCCTCTTAGATTTTAGTCCTTTCAGTTTTCAGCCTAGCCCTGGAACAATGGTTTATAAACAGCCTTGTTCATGGAGCAACCTCAGATGCCTCCTGAGGTAAAGAAATGGGAAGGCTCTGAAATCAGTCCCTAAGGCAAAAAAACCCCACATAAAATCAAGATTATTCTTGAAAAGCACTTGAATCACGCTTAAGCTCAAAAGTCAACAATTACTCAAAATAATGGAAAGCAGGATTTGAAAAGATATTTGCACATCCATGTTCACAGCAATATTATTCATAATAGTCAAGAGGTGGAAGCAACCCAAATGCCCATTGATGGATTAATGGGTAAACAAAATGTGGTATGTAAATACCATGGAATATTATTTAGCCTTAAAAAGGAAGGAAATTCTGGCACATAATACAACATGGATGGACCTGAGGACATTATGCTAAGTGAAATAAGCCAGTTACAAAAATACAAATACTGTATGGCTTTACTTACATGAGTAGTCAAATGTATAGAGACAGAAGGTAGGATGGTGGTTGCCAGGGGCTGCAGAAGGGGAAATGGGGAGTTGTTTAATGGGTATAGAGTTTCAGTTTTACAAGATGAAAAAGAGTTGTGGAAATTGCTTGCTCAACAATGTACTTAACACTCCTGAACTGTACACTTAAAAACAGTTAGGATGGTAGATTTTATGTGTATTTTACCACAATTTAAAGTCAGAAATTAGTTGCTTGTGTTTATCTTTGCATTTAACCTGTAGGAATTCAACCATAGGCAAGTGCCCCTTTATTTAGCTTTGTTCTTCCTGGTCCCCTCCCCATTCAAACCACACCTTTGTCCTTATTGTCCCTCGAGGAGGGGCTTAACCCTGTCCTCTTATTTATTTTTTATTGTAGCCAAGCACTTACTTTTGTTTTTTATTGATAAGAGCACCTATATTTGAATTTATGTCAGATGGCACTCCACTATAGCTGTCATTCTTTTCTTACTAATCATAGTTTGTGGTTGAGTAATGAAGGTCCTGTTGAGAAGCGGGAGGAAGTGTTTGGCTCCTAAACCAAACACTTGCATAAAGTATTGTCTGTGACATCTAAGTACTGTGTCTGCACAGTACACAGATAATATATTTATAATTTAATGCTGAACAATATTCCGCTGTATTTATATACCACATTTTGTTTATCCATTCATCTGTACTTAGATGTCACAGACAATACTTTATGCATGAACTGATGAAGTAAGTCATGAGAACTCCCACATTTTTGAGCCATCAACACCCAAAAAGCATATTTGCACTAACTCAGAACACATGATGTTTTGGGTAGAGTTGAATAAAAGTTGCATTTGTATTACCCACAAAGAAGGGGTTTCTAAGTAATGTAGTAGTGATGGCTTAAACAAAAAGGCAGAGAGCACTCATCCATCTTTGAGAACTGTAACCTTGATTCTTGGAAATGTTGGTTCACAAACCGTATCATATTGTCTTGATATAGAAATGAATCTTTCTTACCTCTAAAGAATACTTTTAGCCAACAAATTTTAGCTCTATTTACATTATATACAGTTGAAAGAAAAATAGGAGTTTCACACACTGTGCATGTTTGTATCTCCTCAAAGCACTCGGCAGTGGTTTGCCCCTAGGAAGCAGTCAATAAATGGTTATTGAATTTAGAATGTCCTTCTTTCCAATCAGTAAGGTTTAATATATATCCAATACAGAAATCCTATTAATTTTTCAGCATTACTAAGCCTTTAAAAAATCAATTTTGGGGATGTGCTTAAGAGTTCACAGCAAATACTATTACATAATAATTAAGAGAAAACTGTTAAATGAAGCAGGCTTATTCAATACACCAGTAGCCATTGATAAAATGTAATTTAATCATTTAAATTTACATTGTTAATGTACAAGAGCATTTCTTTCAAACCACAGGTTAACACACACTAAAGAGCAATGCTGTTAGAGGAGCAGAGAAACTTTGGAAAACTCTGCTGTCTGAAATAAAAGCAAGGCACTCTCCATTAACAGCTGGTGGCTTCCTGATTTCCGCCCACAGAAGGCATGTTCACACTGAGAGAGCTCTCCCGCCAAGGGGAGGAATCACCTGCTTTAATACATGTTGTTCTCTTCTGTGCTAGTGTGGTCATCCACTCTGTATAAACTTATGTGCAACATTAAGACAAAAAAAAGGGAGTTGAGTTGATAAGATGACTTGGGAGGCTCTCATAGTTGTAATAACTATGGAAGACAGAAGAACATGCTATCATCTTTATTTTTAGCACTCATATCTGGACCTATTACTAAAAAAGCTTCTTCATTCCTTCCAACCACTAGATTATAATGGCTAAAAAGTCTTTTCCTTAAATCTGATGGGTGTAAAAATAAAAAGTAACAGCATTTCTCTAGGGCTCTGTTTTTATTTTGTTTTGTTCTTCCTTTATAGACACGACAAAAACAAGGATTAACTTTCCAAATACTCATGGTGCACAAGAAGGTTATGTATGCACAGTATTTCTAATTTATTCAAATTCAATTTGAATTTGGTCTGAAGCTATCTTGTATGAAATGTTAGCTTTCCTGATATTTAATAATATTTATTATGTTTGCATATAAGCTCAAAAAATTAATGCAAAAGTATACTTTACTCATGGTTATCTTCAGGTAAATATTAGTGGTTATGTTTAAAAGCCTGATTTTATATAGATGAAGTTGAGAAAAAAAAAGAGTATGGAAAGGTAAATTAGGTCTTAGTCTTGATTCTGTTACCAGCTGTTTGACCTTGAGTAACTCTTCACCCTTCAATGGGCCCCAGTTTGCTCCTCTATGAATTTTAAGGGGTTGGACTAGTTGACAGACCAGGCCCCTTCCAAGTCTAACATTTCAAAATCCTAACATTCCAGGTTCTATCATCTTGATATATAAAAATAACAATCTTTCATAAAAGCACACATAACATAATCAAATATTAGAATGACTCTTGGAAAAAAACATATGATTTCCTATCTGGGTTATACTTTGCAGCAATTAGGCAATTCATTTGGCATTTGTTTGATTGTATAATTTAATGACAATATAAACAGCATAGTTTTGTTATTTTCCTTTAAAAAGACTAAAGCAAAAATGATTTAAAGCTAACAAAAACTACTGTGACATCAGTTTGACATTCAAAGTTTGTTTCTTAGCAAAATGGCCAAAGATATTTTGACTTGATACAGAGTATATAATATAAAGACTTTTAGACCTAAAAATCTTCAAACATTATTCGAATTTAGCAAAACATAAGCAAAATTTTAATATCAAAGTGCTAAACAGTACTGCCTTAAAAGTCACTGCAAATGAACCATAAAATAACGGCATGGGAAGTGACATTTATTGTACAAATGGTTAATAAAAAGACACATTATAAATATATATATGTAACCTGCTATATTTATATATATATATATATTTGCTTATTTAATTTCTAATTGGTGTATCCAAGTCACTGTGAACACCCCATTTAATTACTCTGTAACTCAGCTTCCAGGAGCTGGTGGTCTTGCAATAAATACAGGCAAAGCTATTACAATATAACGTGCATACAAATGTTTATACAAATAAGGACACTATGCAACAAATTATCTCATAGTAATATGGCATTAACAGTAGAAACATACAAAAGGGAGTACGAACACGGAATGTTGAAACGCAGCCCACTAATCCTTCCTAGTACTCACACTCATACTATTTTTTAAATCTTTTCTAGTATTCACATTCATACTATTTTTTAAAAAGATTTGCTTGCTCTCCAAAATTGTCTCCTTAACCAATAACAAAAATTAAATTATATCTATAAAAATCCTTATTGTCCCTGGTGCTTACCCTGTATGACCAGTTCCTGCTGATTTGCATGTTCTTATCTAGGGATCAAATACTCAACTGACTTATGGCGCTTCTGAATGAATATACCAGTCAGTTACTATAACTGAAGCAAGTTTAGGGAACTCTGGTGGGGTTGATAGAACACAACCAAAACAGTTACATGTAATCCAGTTTATAATCTGATCCACTTTCAGGATAGCTGGACAGTCAGGGCAGGGATCTGGTTCCATCAAGAATGGCCTAAAAGTCTTGGATGGGCCATACCTCAGAAGGGATCGACAGGGAAGGTGAACACAGCCTCTGCTAGGGATATTAACGTGTCATTTGCTAACATGACTGCCTCCTTTTTATTTCCATATAGAATAAAGGAGAGTTAATAAACAAGACTTAGTAAGACAGCACTTTAAAAAATTGCACTTGTTTATGGAAGCAAACAGCCATTATTGTTTTGCCATGTCTGATTTGTAGGTAATCCTCCATCTTTCACCATTTGTTAAAATAAAGGAAGAAGGAAATTAAAAGGAAGTTTCTGCCTTGTTTGCACCACATACGTACCTTTGATACAGGAAGCATATTTTCAAGGGACCAATCTTTAAGACACATCCTACCCTGGCGAACAACCCTTGGCTGTTCTTGTTTTTAAATACAAAGCAACTATAATTGGATTCCCCAGAAAGAGTTTTAAAACAGTTATATTATCCTTTTTTTTCCTGCTGGGATAGCATTGTCCAAAAGTGCTTTGTTAGCAATTTCTTAGAAAACCCTCATGAACTATAACCCCCTCCCACCCCATCCCCCAATGCCTAAATATAAAACACAACCCCAACACAATACTCTGCAAGTTTTCTGGCTTTAGGTTGTAAGGAAAAGAGCCAGAAAAAAAAGAAAGTCTTTGCTTTCTACAGGAGCTGCTTTTCCTCTTAAGGAAGGACAGGAAATGATAGGTTTCCAAACCTATCCCTTTGCTGCGTAGCAAGCAGGTGCTAGGAGAGGAGGCAGCTCACTGCTCCACTGCTCCTGATTAGAAAGGTAGGGTGTCCAGGAAGAGCTTGTCAATGATGGAAGGTGGAGACACCAAGTCTTCCAGCTTCAGGTAGAAGATGCGCTGGAGGCCCAGGGTGCAGATCTTCCTCAGTTCTACCAGGGCACCCAGGACCTTGGACTCGGTGGGCTCCAGAGCCTGTCCCTTACTCTGGTGGTCTTTTAAACTGCTTGTGATCTTGTTGCATAGCTCTTCGACTCTCTTTGGTTCTTTTAACCCATGTCTTTCTGCAGAGGGATAGAGAAGGGCAAGAAGTTTAGGAGGCAAATACATCTTAAGACACTTTGAATCCCTAATTGAGGTCTGTGTCTCATTCTGCCAGTTTGGATAGCTTCTTTGCAATCAAAGTGCCCTCCCTGTTAGAGATAGCTCATGGCCTTTGGTATGAAGCAACACCAAGGTTTGAATCCCAGTCCCAACACTTACTTGCTGTGTGCCCTAGAGTAAGTCTCTTTACTTCTGAGCACCCATTTCCTTATGAGATGAAGAAAATGATCATACCCAATTCAGGGTTTCTGGGATGGCCAGCTTAGGTAAGTAACACAAGGGAAGCACAGTTCCTGGCACACAGCCACATGGAATGAATGGCAGGGTGGTTATTATTTTGCATACATTATCCTACTAAGCTCTCACAAAGCCTTGTCAGTAGGCAACTATTTTTCAGAGTGACATAGAAACACATCCAGGCAAATGAATTAATGTTTCTATCTTGACAGACTCATTTAAGGGAGGTGGGGAGGCTGTAACTTCCATTTGCTAATGCAAGGGCTGCTCGAAAAGACCCAACACAGCAAAGTGCATTCCTGTGTTTTCATGCTAACCAGCACTGAGAAGAATTCAGCTTTTCTTTTCCTTGTTTTGTTCCCCCCCACTTGAAACCCCTGTTGACCTACACCTGGCACTCTGTACAAAATACACATGTCCTCCTGCTGTGGAGATGGAAAAGCCAAAGAGAAGGGGAGGAAGCCCAGAAGGATGTGGTGCAGGCATGTTATAATGTATTAAGACACAAATACCAGTATCTTATATTTTACAAAACAATATATAAAATGATCTCCATGTTAAATACTATGATCTATCTTATGTATAAGGTTAAATGAATTTCCCAAAGTCACTCAGCTGCTAAAAGCTAGGATTAGAACCCAGTTTTCTGAGGCAAATACTGGTCTCTTGTTCCAAAGCAATGAGAAGGGAGCCTGACATCCACAACAAATCACTATGCTTTTCCTCAACATTTAGACTTCAGAGCCTCATTTCTCTCTCTTTTTTTTTTTTTTTTTTTTTTTTTTTTTTTTTTGAGACAGAGTCTTACTCTGTTGCCTAGGCTGGGGTGCAGTGGTGCGATCTTGGCTCACTGCTCCCCCACTTCCTCCACCCCGATTCAAGCGATTCTCCTGCCTCACCCTCCCGAGTAGCTGAGACTACAGGTGTGTACCACCATGCCCAGCTAATTTTTTGTATTTTCAGTAGAGATGGGGTTTCACCATATTGGCCAGGATGGTCTCGAACTCCTGACCTCAAGTAATCCTCCCATCTTGGCCTCCCAAAGTGTTGGGATTACAGGCATGAGCCACTGTGCCTGGCCTCAGAGCCTCATTTCTAAAGGAAGAGCTTGGCCTCTGTTATCTCGAAATTTTCTTCTCTCAGTACATTTACATGTAAAATCATAATTCTTGAGAGATGGAAGACATCCTTCTAATGGGAAATCAAGCAATAGTTTCTAATTTTTACAAAATTAATTTTTTTTTTTTTTGAGTCATGGTCTTGCTCTCTTGCCTGGGCTGCAGTGCAGTGGTGCAGTCATGGTTCACTGTAGCCTGGAACTCCTGGGCTTAAGTGATCCTCCTGCCTCAGCCTCCCAAGTAGCTAGGTCTATAGGCATGCACCACCATACCTGGTTGATTTTTAAATTATTTTTTGTAGAGGCAGGGCCTCACTATGTTGCCCAGGCTGGTCTTGAACTCTTGGGCTCAAGTGATCCTCCTGCCTCAGTTTCCCAAAGCACTGAAATTACAGGCATGAGCTACCGTGCCTGGCTCTAAATTAATTTTTTAAGTTGGGGGCATTTTTGTTAGAAAAGTTATTTCCTTGAAGCAAAAGCCAATAAGAAAAATGAAGAACTATCCAGACACTTTTTTCTTGTCCCAAATAAGAGGCCTGGGAACCAGAAAATTTGCATTATCCTCAGTTTGGCTAGTTGTGTATGATTTGGGGAAGTTCCTCCCACTTTGGGGCCCTGTAAAAGGAGACGGTTGAACTTCATTATCTGTAAGGTCCCAAAGCTCTGATGTGTCCTCCTTCCTTCCTTCCCTCCCTCCCTTCCTTCCTTCCTTCCTTGACAGAGTCTCACTCTGTCACTCAGGCTATGCAGTGGTGAAATCTCAGCTCACTGCAACATTCCCGGTTTCAAAAGATCCTCCTGCCTCAGCATCCCAAGTAGCTGGGATTACAAGTGTGTGCCACCACACCTGGCTAATTTTTGTATTTTTAGTAGAGACAGGGTTTCACTATATCAGCCAGGCTGGCCTCAAACTCCTGGCCTCAAGTGAGCCACCCACCTTGGCCTCCCAAAGTGCTGGGCTTACAGGCATGCACCACTGCACCTGGCCTGATATGTTATAATGATATTAAAATACAACCATGAAGATTGCCAGCGGGATCTCCATGGACTGTAAGTTGCAGGCATCTTGTCTCAATGCAATATGCTATAAAGAGATGGGCACTGGCCCTGGAGTTAGACAGACCTAGGTTCTAGTTCTGGTTCTGTCATTTACTAGCTGGGTGACCTAATTTCTCTAAGGCTCAATGTCTTCACAGGAAAATCGGAATTATTGAGTGGCAGATACACAGCCTTTGCTGTTATTATTCCTGTGTGTCTTCAATGTTATGTAATAAATTAAAAGAAAAAGTACAATGATAATAAAACCCAACTCCATGGATTATTGTGGCTCAATTAAGATAATGTTATGGAAAAGTGGTCTGTCAGCTGTAGAGTGCTATACACATGGAATAATCAGAACCAAAGACAATGCTTGCCAGTGGGCAAGTGGCTGGTAACTACAAGGTCTAACAAAAAGCAATTCGTGGCCTAATTTCCAAGCTTTGCAGTGCATCATTTTGCTTTCCCTGAGAAACTATTAGCTAATCAGCCCAGGTGCGGACCTGTCTCCTACGGCTTATCATTACTAAATACACAGGCTCCATGTTTCAGTCTCAGAAGAGACTGTTGTGAATTTTAAGAGAATGAATTTTAAGAGAATCCTGCATGCAGTGGTGTTCTGCCTAAAGTTTTATTTTCTCCCCAAAACAAAAGAACAGGCTGTAAATTTGGCAGTAAATTTCAAGAGCTATAAATCGTTCATAGCCTCTGACCAAGTAATCCCACTCTTGGGAATTTATCCAAAGGAAACATTTAACAGAAGAATAAAACTGTATACATGGAGACATTTGGTTCAGCATTATCTATTACCAAGACAAAACAAAACAAAAGCAAACAAACAAAAAACTGGAAAAAGGCAAAGGGCTGAAGAATAGGGGAACTGTTAAGTAAATAATGGTATATGGAAGGGAAGATTCTGAAGACATCAAACAGAACAAATGTGAAGGCCATGAAGCAAAATTAAAAAAAAAAACGTTTACAACATTAAATAAAGAGTAGAATATTAAATACTAAAGCTGTGATTCCATCTATGCAAAAATTATTTCTTCATATAGAGAAGGGTGAAAGAAAATATAAACGTGAAAATACCTATGGGGTTTTGGGATAAATTTTCCTTCCTTTTAAAATGTCCAGGTTGTGCTCTTTGTATAATAATGTTAAAATAGAACGAGATGGATTTCGTCCTTTGTGAAGCCCTTGAATGCTATAACATGATCAAACATCACCTTGCTGATACTAAATTGAATTAATAATGAAAAATATTCAATTATATTCATAACCTAGGGAGAGACGCCTTTCTCAGAATAAATACCAGTCCATTGATTTAAGCTTTCCCTTCCTTTCAGTGTCTCATGTCTTACATAACATTCAAGATCTCATATTCATCATCAGGATACAGGAACTGAGTAATATGTTGGCTGGATTTGGGGAGGGAGCTGATTGTGGAACCTTGTAACCAGACTTTCTCATGGCCAAACTCACAGAAGGTACTGCAGAATTTTCCCTGCTCTCCAACCAGTTGCGACTGCTCAATAACTATGGCAACCATTATTTATTCAGTGAATTCAAGTGGAGATCGATACCTCCTGCCAGCTGGATCAACTCTAGGCCTGGAATTCCTTGAGGAATTCAGAGACAGTCCTGTTAGAAGCCAAAGGCACCTCAACCCTCTTTGTTGTTTTGAACAGCCACTGGATTTGTAGCTTCTTTACTTTTTCAAAAGGGCTGAGATAATATTCAGTCTCCATGCAAACTACTGCCAGCAGCCAGGAAGATTTTCAAATCACTAGGGAGTCACTAAGTGTCTGGGTCCTTCCCTAGTAATTTGAAATCCCTTAAAACCTAATCACTGACATTTTAGTTAAAGGGATCTCCTTTCTTCTTGTAGCTTGGTAAACATGGCTACGGAGCTAATATACAGAGTTCATAAATTCGGGGGGAAATCAGGCATTTGGACTATCCCCCTTCCTAGAGAATTATACACAGCAGATTTTAGTTTAAGGTCTTTGTCCACCATTAAACAAAACAAGCTTCTTAATATTTCTTGCATTTTGATCTATATAATTTTCATAGAATGCTTTAGTATTTTAACTCTGGCATTACATATTCAAAACTTTGATATGTAACATACAGAAATGGTTAAGTAATAGACTTATGTGTCATAATCATTGTATATATAGATTGGAAAGGGTTTGAGTTATTTAGTTCAAATTTCTATCTAAGACAAGAATCTCTACTACAAGCTACCATAAAGAGAGTGTCAGGTAGTGGCTGGACTGGGAGTTAACTATATTATGCCATAATAGCACATATATATTTAATAGCACTTTATACAACACTCTTTTACTTAGATTATCTTATCTCACTCTCACAACAATCCTGTGAATTAGGCAGGACAAAGATTATCTTTAAGTAATAGGTATGGAAGGTAAGCCTCAATTAAGTGACTTGCCCATAGTCAAAATTAGCACGGGGCTATTTTCTTTTACTCTAAGTCCAGAGATATTTCTCTTATAACAAGATGTCTTCCATCTCTGGACATCTCTAATTGTTAGAAAGTTTCTCCTCGTCCTGAGATGAACTAGCTTTTCTATAACTCTCTCCTATTTTCTGTGCACCAAATTAACTAACTACTTCTTTCAACAAATATTTATTGAACACCTATTCTGTGGCAAGCGATGTTATAACCACTGGGGTTAGAGATGCGACAGATAGATCACACTCCTAATCTTTGTGTGGTATGAACACCTAAAGACACCGTTGGATTTCTGTGCATTTTGGCTATCCAGGCATAGACATCTCTGCTTAGAGCAAGAGGGAGGGGTTGCGAGGTAGGTGGAACCAGGGAAGAAGGAGTCAGGGGGAGAGAGTGATGGAGTGAAATAATAGAGCTATATTTAGGTCTGTGCTCATGTTTTCCCATCCTCATCTGGTTAAGATATACTCATTCTTTGGATCTCAGATCAAATATTTCTTGAAGGAAGCTTCCCTTTTTACCCCTATTCTAGATCATGTTCTCCTCTGGCATTCTAATCTATCCCTTTGCAGGACACAACAGTTTGAAGTCAGATAGTTATGTGATTTTTTTCTCCTCCCATTAACTGTAAGCACCATGGGGGCATGAACTGTATTTGCTCAACATTGTATCTCCAGCACCAAGCCTAGTACATAGGAGACACCCAATAAATATCTGTTAAATTGATACATAGAGGATCAAGAATCTGTGAGAAATGATTATATAAGCACTAAAAGTGTAAGCTGCTAAAAATAAATATACAGGTTGGGAGTTATTAAGAAGCTAACAACAGTAAAGAACTTTACAAACTCTAAAACCTACCACATCAAAGCTTTGGAATTAGATTTCCTGGCTGTAGACCTGAACTCTACCACTTATTTATTTATTTATTTATTTATTTATTTATTTATTTATTTGTGAGACAGAGTCTTGCTCTGTCGCCAGGCTGGAGTTCAGTGATGCAATCTCGGCTCACTGCAACCTTCGCCTCCTGGGTTCAAGTGATTCTCCTGTTTGGCCTCCCAAGGCCCAGCTAATTTTTGTATTTTTAGTAGAGAAGGGGTTTCACCATGTTGGCCAGGATGGTGTCCATCTCTTGACCTTGTGATCCGCCTGCCTTGGCCTCCCAAAGTGCTAGGATTACAGGTGTGAGCCACCACCCCTGGCCTCGACCACTTATTAACTGGGTGACTTTGGGTCTGTTTCCACATTTGTAAAATGGTGCTAATAATGGTAGCTGCCTTATGGGTTGTTATGAGAAGTAAACGAGTTAATACATGTCAAGTATTTGGAACCATGCCTAGCATATAGTGAGCACTTAGTGAATATTTGCAAGTATCCTCTCTATCTAAAACTCAAGCCATTACCTTCCCCTTCAAATCAGCCACGTCTCTAAGCTTGTCTATTAATGATATTACAGCCTTTCACATCACTCTTATAATCATCTCTAACAATTTCTTCCCCCCGAGCCATCATATTTAATCCATTGCAAGAACTTCCGTTATTATCTCTGTGATGTTCCTTGCATTTATATCTCCCTCTCAATACCCATGGCCTCTGGATGAGGATCTTCAATATCTTTGCTATCTAGATTATTTTAATAGCTCTTGACTGATCTCCATGCTTCCTGTATCTGCTATAATCTATTTCAGGTACTTCCAAGTTTATTTATTAAGCAACATTAAACAAAATAACACATGTAAAGCCCTTGGCACAGTGCCTGGCACTGAGTATTTTTAAATGGTAGCTATTAATTTCATGGATTCCTAATTACCAATAGGTTCCCTTATTCCTAGATACTTAAGGTGTGGTCCCCAGACCAGCAGCATCAGCATCACTGGGGAACTTGCTGGAAATGCAGAATCCGTTTAGGCAGGCCCTGCCCCAGACCTACCTAACCAGAATCTGCAATGCAACAAGATGCCCAGTGATGTGAATGCTGGAGAAGCTCTGCTCTAGTCAATCCTAGTCCCCATAAGATGCTTGACTGAGTCCACACCTAGTGTTCATCTAGTCTCTGTAAGCCTCATTCCCCAAAGCAGGAACTCACTCCTCAAGGCAGCTTATTCCAATTTCAAATGGTTCTTTCTATGTGAAAGTTTTTCTTACATTGAGCTAAAATTTGCCATCCTATATATCAGGGGTCCCCAATTGGTATTGGTCCATGGCCTGTTAGGAACTGGGCCACACAACAGGAGGTGAGCGGCAGGCAAGCAAGTGAAGCTTCATCTGTATTTACAGCCACTCCCCGTTATTTGCATTACCACCTGAGCTCCGCCTCCTGTCAGATGAGTGGCGGCATTAGATTCTCATAGGAGTGTGAACCCTATTGTGAACTGTGCATGTGAGGGATCTAGGTTGCACGTTCCTTATGAGAATCTAATGCGTGGTGATCTGTCACTGTCTCCCATCACCCCCAGATGGGACTATCTAGTTGCAGGAAAATGAGCTCAGGGTTCCCACCGATTTTACATTATGGTGAGTTATACAATTATTTAATTTTATATTACAATGTAATAATAATAGAAATAAAGTGCGCAATAAATGTAATAAGCTTGAATCATCCCGAAACCATTCCTCCGACCCCAGTCCAAGCAAAAATTGTCTTCCATGAAACCAGTCTCTGGTGCCAAAAATGCTGGGGACCGCTGCTATATGTAGTTCCCAGTTCTGCCTCTTGGGCTTATATGAGAAATGTCAAATTCTCTTCCTCATGGCAGGGAGTAGGGGATAAAGAAAGGGATGATAGTAACCATCAGGAGCCCCACCAAGGGGAAAAGTAACTCCCCTTTCTGAGCAGGTGTTAGGGCAAAGGCTAACTTGGTGACAACAATGCTGTTCCAGCCAAAGGGGAAGGAAAGGTGGGCCCCTGGAGAGAGAGGTATGTGTAGCTCAAACACAAACAAACAGGACTCCCCACTCGGAGCTCTACCCCTTTCTCTGGGAATTCACCTTATTGCTATCACTCATGTCATACACAACATCCTTTACTGATGGGCAGTCCCAGAGACATTGAGCCCACGCTGGTCAGGAAGCGACAAGTCAAGTCAGCAGTCTGTGTTGAGGCTGATTTAAATGGTACTTTTCAGTCTGACCGTCTTTGATTTGGTAGAGTATGTGTCTGTCTCTCTCTCCAGTGAGACCACAGACTCTTTGAGGGTAAGGGAATGTGTGTCTGGTGCACAGTTGATGCTCAATAAATATTTACTGAATTAATCTGAATCAAAATAAGGCAATTTTCAAGAATTCATACTTTTATCATAACAGTGGTAGGCTAAAAATTATTAATTCAGATTTTTCTAATTTGGGAGACTTTCTGATACTCACAATTGGCCCATTCATTCAATGAATATTTGTCATATGCCAGATACTTGTAAATGCTAAAGTAATTTTAAAGATAAATAAGACTCTCCCTGTCCTTAAGAACCCCACAGTCTAGCTGGTAAAGAAAGACACAAAGAAATTCCCTAACACAGCAAAGTCTCAGGATACAAAATCAATGTACAAAAATCACAAGCATTCTTATACACCAACAACAGACAAACAGAGAGCCAAATCATGGGTGAACTCCCATTCACAATTGCTTCAAAGAGAATAAAATACCTAGGAATCCAACTTACAAGGGATGTGAAGGACCTCTTCAAGGAGAACTACAAACCACTGCTCAAGGAACTAAAAGAGGACACAAACAAATGGAAGAACATTCCATGCTCATGGGTAGGAAGAATCAATATCGTGAAAATGGCCATACTGCCCAAGGTAATTTACAGATTCAATGCCATCCCCATCAAGCTACCAATGACTTTCTTCACAGAATTGGAAAAAACTACTTTAAAGTTCATGTGGAACCAAAAAAGAGCCCGCATTGCCAAGTCAATCCTAAGACAAAAGAACAAAGCTGGAGGCATCACACTACCTGACTTCAAACTATACTACAAGGCTACAGTAACCAAAACAGCATGGTACTGGTACCAAAACAGAGATATAGATCAATGGAACAGAACAGAGCCCTCAGAAATAATGCCGCATATCTACAACTATCTGATCTTTGACAAACCTGAGAAAAACAAGCAATGGGGAAAGGATTCCCTATTTAATAAATGGTGCTGGGAAAACTGGCTAGCCATATGTAGAAAGCTGAAACTGGATCTCTTCCTTACACCTTATACAAAAATCAATTCAAGATGGATTAAAGATTTAAACGTTAAACCTAAAACCATAAAAACCCTAGAAGAAAACCTAGGCATTACCATTCAGGACATAGGCGTGGGCAAGGACTTCATGTCCAAAACACCAAAAGCAATGGCAACAAAAGACAAAATTGACAAATGGGATCTAATTAAACTAAAGAGCTTCTGCACAGCAAAAGAAACTACCATCAGAGTGAACAGGCAACCTACAACATGGGAGAAAATTTTCGCAACCTACTCATCTGACAAAGGGCTAATATCCAGAATCTACAATGAACTCAAACAAATTTACAAGAAAAAAACAAACAACCCCATCAAAAAGTGGGCGAAGGACATGAACAGACACTTCTCAAAAGAAGACATTTATGCAGCCAAAAAACACATGAAGAAATGCTCATCATCACTGGCCATCAGAGAAATGCAAATCAAAACCACTATGAGATATCATCTCACACCAGTTAGAATGGCAATCATTAAAAAGTCAGGAAACAACAGGTGCTGGAGAGGATGCGGAGAAATAGGAACACTTTTACACTGTTGGTGGGACTGTAAACTAGTTCAACCATTGTGGAAGTCAGTGTGGCGATTCCTCAGGGATCTAGAACTAGAAATACCATTTGACCCAGCCATCCCATTACTGGGTATATACCCAAATGAGTATAAATCATGCTGCTATAAAGACACATGCACACGTATGTTTATTGCGGCACTATTCACAATAGCAAAGACTTGGAACCAACCCAAATGTCCAACAATGATAGACTGGATTAAGAAAATGTGGCACATATACACCATGGAATACTATGCAGCCATAAAAAATGATGAGTTCATATCCTTTGTAGGGACATGGATGAAATTGGAAACCATCATTCTCAGTAAACTATCGCAAGAACAAAAAACCAAACACCGCATATTCTCACTCATAGGTGGGAATTGAACAATGAGATCACATGGACACAGGAAGGGGAATATCACACTCTGGGGACTGTGGTGGGGTCGGGGGAGGGGGGAGGGATAGCATTGGGAGATATACCTAATGCTAGATGACACATTAGTGGGTGCAGCGCACCAGCATGGCACATGTATACATATGTAACTAACCTGCACAATGTGCACATGTACCCTAAAACTTAGAGTATAATAAAAAAAAAAAAAAAAAAAGAAATTCCCTAACACAATGTGTATATTCAGTTGCAGGGATGCATGAACACTTTTATGGATTCTTAGCAAGACAGCTGGCTCTTCATGGAAGTGTGTAAAACAAATAATAACAGTGAAGGTTTGTCTAATTTTTTTTCTGCATAGTACATATTAGTTCATTCAATTTTTATAAGAAACCTGAAAGTAGACATCTTTAACCCTGTGAGAAGGAAGGAAATTGAGATTCAGAGAGGGTAAGGAACTTGTCCAAGATTGCAAAGACAGCACATTTCAGGGTGAAGACCTGAACTCAGATCTCCGGTCTCTAAATCCTGTGGCCTCTCCCCTCTCCCACCATTTTTGTTTTTAACTATTTTGCCCCGCTAAGTTTGATATTTAGTTTTCCTTGCAATGTAGCTGATGGCTTTATCTGATGCAAAAGCAGGGGTAACCAGGTAACCATTTACAGTGAGCAGTGGAGCTCTGGAAAGACAGATGGTGGAGGGTGTGCCGTGGTCAGCCACCTGTCTAGTCCTGCTGTGTCACTGTTTCACTACTTTCTGCCATGGTTCTGCCCTCCTTCCTCCTTCTCAGTCTTAGAGGTCGTGTTTCAATAAGACCAGGAAAAAGACTAGAGTCAGACGAGAAAGGAGTCATTTTCTCACCTGAGAGATGACCTGAGTAGGGAAAAGAAAGCCATGGGGAACAACAAAATGGCATTTGAGCACTTGAGATTCCCTCTGCCATCTGGTTCAAAACTATCTTTCCAATCTTATTTCCCCTATTTCTGTACAGGAAAAGCGTTTTGCTCTGAGGTTAGGTCATCACATCAAGCCAGAAGGTAAATATCACATAGAATTAGTTTTATCCCTGAAAATCATTTAACTTTCCCAAAAGCACAAGACATCATCTCACCACTCATCACCAGAGGCAGAGAAACCATGACCTACAGTGGATTCATGCTCACTCCAGGACATACAGTCATCAAATGCAATAGCCTGCACTCTTAATTTTTCTCCTCTTTCTACTTGTATCATATGTGTGATTTTAATATATGCACAATGCAACTCCACTGTAATTGTTTTAACCCTAAACTGTACTGAGGCATTCAACTGCCATGCCCTTGCTGTTCTCTTTCCTTCATCTGGAATGTTCTTTATGTCTTCTCATGTCTAGATGCTACCTCTTTGGGAAGTCATTCATGACCAACACTTCTACCTTCCTTCACCTCAAAAAAGTTAGCAGTAATCTGGACTTACTCTACACTGCATCTGTCCCTTTTCAGGGCCTGAGCACTAATCACTATACATCAAGTTTATATATCATAATCTATGACTTCCTAGTAGACTGCCCACTTCTTGGCAACAGAATGCGTGCCTGGCTCATCTTTGCATCCCAAGAGACTGGTACAATGCTTGGTACATAGTGGGCCCTCGATGCTTATTTAATGAGTGGATATTTATAAAATGGTAATGCCACACTAACTTTCTGTTTGGTGAGGGGGCTTCTTATTTATGAAACATTATTAACTGCAACCAGATATCAACTCATTGGTATCCCACCAGATTCAAAGCACTTGCATTACTTCAGAGATGCAGCACTGGCAAAGGGCAATGGTTAGGGTAGATAAACAGGGAACCTGAAAAACGTTTGAAAGCCAACCACTGTGGGGAACCCCCTGTTTACTGCAGGAAAGGAGAGTGATCTGAATGAAACCATTTCCTGCCCCACTTCACCGCCTAGTTTTTCATGAGGGGGTACAGAGAGGAGGAGGACAAAGAAAAAAAGAATGAGAGAAAAAAAAGCCATGTTTGTGCAAACCACCAATACTAATCCAGATTCTTAATACTTTTCCTGGAAGCAAGCCTAGTTAAACTTCTAAGATGCCATTTCCTTTTCATGAGCTCTCTGTGGTTTAAGAAAAGACAGTTTTGGGATGAATTTTGTAATGTAAATAGCCCAGCTGATACTCCACAATCACCATTTATGATCAACGAAGCTTATTCAGAAGTCAAGATCCATGGCAGCTCATATTCAAATGAAAATTAATATTCACAGCAATGCACACTGTTTCCCAGGCATTGCCTTTTCTGCCATTTCCTGATATTTTCACACTTATCAAACCCACTTTCAACCAGTAAGTCACAAAGAGAGTGTTTGTTGTAAGGTCCAGAAATGAGAGAAGAGGGCTTATTTTTGTTGTAGGCTAAAACCACAGCAGGAATGAGGGCAGGAACAGGAGCTACCTGGTCGGGGAGGCCCAAAGACACCACTGTAGAGCACTTGGTCTATTGTAAGTGCTTGTTAAGTGCAGCTTAATTACTTTAATATCACTATCCTCCTTTGAGCCTCTCTCTTAAGCATCCAAGGAGACTGTCACCAAACATACTGCCTTCTAAAGCCACCACCTGTTTCCTCATGCCACTGAGTTTGATGCTTCCAAGGGGTAGGGGAAGGCATATGCCTAACTTGAGGGAATCTGTCACTATCACTCCAAGGGGGACCATAGGTGAATTCAGAGTTGCCTATCCTGAATCCAGTTTGGTTACATCACCAACTAAATTTTCTGTAATCCTCACTGCTGCCCTATGACATAGACATTGTTATCCCCATTTTACAAATGGGGAAACTGAATTTCAGAGAACTGAAATGTGTTCCCCAATAGCGCCTACTTATTAAACATAGGACTGAAGATTAAAATCTGGGCGTGCTCGATTCCAAAGTCCATGCTATTTCTGCCATGCCAAACTGCCTCCTCCCCCAGCCAATCTCCACATAAATGGGCAGCGGGCTGAGCAGCTGTAACTGCAGGGAATAGAACAAATGGGATGCAGAAAGAGGACCAGCACCACCCTTCTACTAATTTCTACTTTGTATTCTCTGCACTGAACTGCCCAGTCTCTCCAGGTTGGGTCTTCCTGGCACCCACACGTCCTGGCCTCTTAGATATCTGTCAATTTCCATTTAAAGAGTGAAACAAAGATGTGGCCTTCAGGGATGGACCCTCCTCTTGAATCATGGCTCTCACACCTGGACTGGCCTTTTTCCTCTTAGATTCTTTCTCACTCTAATCTATGCCCAAAACTCACTGACAGGGTAAATCTTTCTAAAACGCAAACCTGACCATCAAGCTCCTTTGGACAAAACCTGTGGATCCTCGTTGTTCTCAAGATAAACTCTGCTCCCCTCACCTAGGCGTGGAAGGTTCTTTATGTCCCGCCCCACCCTGACCTATCAGACCAGTCACATCTCCTGTCACTCCAATTTTCAGCTGTTTCCTTTCTGAAACTTAGCCATATTTTCAATGGCTTTTGGCAAATGTTTATGCCTGGATTCTCACTTTTTCCATTTTAGCCTGGAGACATCCTCTGCACTTACAAAGGACCAGCTCCTGTGATCTCTTCTGAGAAGACCACCCCCACCTGCTGTCTCTGAGCACTTTGAACTCACTCCCTTGTCTCCATGGTGGCACTCAACACCTTGCATCACATGTGGTACTTTGCATGTCTATGTCCTCTAGGGATGTGTGTTATCATCTCTGAAAACCCAATGACATGCAGCATGGTGCCTAGGTCAGTGAATATTTGTTGATTAACTAGACTCAACACTCGTTGCCATGGAGATGAAGCAATGTACTGCTTTTACTTGTAGGAATCCAAAGCTGGATCTAGTTTTTTGTTTTTGTCTTTTTAAAATGAACTAAACTCCATACTTTCTAGTTTTGAATGTTTAACTGACGTAGGAATTGCTGAATGGTTTTGAAATTGAACTAAAGAGCTTTAGTTCAAAGGCAGCCTTGAACCAGTTTCCTTCCAGTCCTGATGAAGTAATATGCTTGTGCCTTAAATCTGTTTATTTTCTTCAGATGCTCCAGTATGCCATTTGAAAGCCTTCCAAATGGAATCCATACTCTTTGAGACTGCCTTGGTTTTTGTTTCGTTAATGGCTCTCTTGGAAGTCTAGCAGCCCCATTAAAAAAAAAAAGTGAGTTTCTCATCCTGGACCAAAGACCAGGAGGAAGTCAGTTTCCATTTGGAATACTGAAGGAACAGCTACTGTCTGAATCCTCATTGCAGCCATACCAGTTGCTTGTCTTTGCCTGCATGTCAACCATCAAATGATGAACCAGCCTAGCCTCTTAAGGCACAGACACATCTAACCTTAGCTAATAGGAGATATCCCAAGAAATGCAAGTAAACAATGCTTGGGCAAACCAATGCACATTTCCAGTGAAACAGAAAGAAGGGGCCATCTGTACCAGAGGTTGCATTTGATGCTCTGGAAACTCACCACCTGCTTGAGAAACATGTTTTCTATAGCCAAGAGCATATTATTCTGATCTTGAACTCTGTTCAACAGCCAAGCCTGTGCTTGTGTCTGACCAAAAGGTCAAGGATGAGCCCCTCATTTGGCCACTTCTGGAGCCCCCACCCTCTGTCACCACCTCCCCAGGCCCCAGTCTGACCAGAAAGAATGAGGTCTAACAGGAAACTCTCCCCCGGGGCAAAGGGAGCTGGGGCAAGGGCCTCCATGGCCACAGGGAGATGATATTCTTTCCTTTGCCCAACACGCGCCTTTCTCCATCCCACCCCACCTTGGGATCCTTTATCTCCCAAAAGATAGAAAGAGAGAGATCTATAGAGGGAGACAGGCATAAATCAAATATCTTTTATGTTTGTGGTTAAAAAACTGCTGAGTTGGCTGGGTGTGGTGGCTCACGCCAGGAATCCCAGCACTTGGGGTGCCAAGGCGGGTAGATCAATTGAGGTCAGGAGTTCGAGACCAGCCTGGCCAGCATGATGAAATCCCATCTCTACTAAAGATACAAAAATTAGCCGGGCATGGTGGCAGGTACCTGTAATCCCAGCTACTCAGGAGGGTGAGACAGGAGAATTGCTTGGACCCAGGAGGCAGAGGTTGCAGTAAACCAAGATCACATCATTGCACTCCAGCCTGGGCGACAGAGTGAGACTCCATCTCAAAAATAATGATAATAAAATTTTAAAAATAAAAATAAAAAACTGCTGAGTTGAACCATTTTTGCTTTTTCTCAGTCCTTTGCCAATCGAAGTTATTAAATCAAGTTGTATTTGATATGTCTATAGTGTTTTGGTTTTACTTTAGGTCGCTAGCCAAGAACTGGGGACAGGGGAAACCTCATCACCTCTGCTCCACAGGAATGGGCTGGGTTAGGTAATCTCCCTAGGAAAGGCTTTGTAACAAGAACACTGAACCAGTCTGGGCAACAGGGTGAAACAGGGCTACAAAACAGGACAAATGTGTGGTGGCATGTGCCTATAGTCCTAGCTACTCAGGAGGCTGAAGTGGGAGGATCACTTGAGTCCAGGTGGTCGAGGCTACACTAGGCCATGATCACACCACTGCTCTCTAGCCTGTGTGACAGAGCAAGACCCTGTCTCAAAACAAACAAACCCTGAAGCAGCTAGTCCCACTGTCCACAGATCTCTAGTAGGAAGTTAGATTTTCGTATATTGGGCTTACTGACAATGATAATTCAATAGACTATGGATCCTCTTTACTAGAAGTTTATGACAACAAATTATAGATGCATGTTTCTTTGCTTAAACTAGGTTAAACTTAACAGATTTCAGAAAAATGGTAGTCATTTTCCCACTTTTCTGGTGTGTGTAGTGGTCAAGGCCAGATTCCACCATAACAAAGGGAAGGAGAGAAATGAGGATGCGGTTTTGGCAAGGTGGTGCTTACCTGTGATCATGCTCAGTGCTGACAGGCAGGCTAAGGCTTGGATATCAAGGTTCAGGCTCTGCAAATTTAAGGAAAAGTCTTTAATAGAGTCGAGCCACTCCCCAAATCCACGAAGGCACTGAAGTCGATGCAGGACAAGTCCATTGCAGAACACAAACTTATCTTCAGCAGTGTTTGACCTGGGAGGTGAGAGGAAGACAAACATTAAACAGGTCTGTTCAATCTGTCCAACATGATAACATTATGACACACAGGCACACAGACAGCCATGGGGCAGCATTGGGACCCCAGTGTGGTGCTATGAAGCATGCCAGATACCCACAATGAATAAGACTATGTTCTCTGGGATAAACAACTAGCACCACTTGTCTATGCTAATGTCTTTGGTGAACATCAGCCCAGGGGAAGATATGGGCTGTGGCACCTGCTATCTTATTACTAGAATCAATTACTGGCTTTCCTTGGGACAGGAAATGGGGGAGCAGGCACTCATGGGTTCCAGAGATGAAGCCCAGTGCACCCCTCTCTCAGCAATGAACATGAGACTGTTCCCTCCAGGGATCCTGAGACAGGGCTTGTCCTTGATTTTCTTAAATGTTAAAAACTGCCAAGGCCTGAGGCTAGACACTACAATTCCATTGTGCACACTTTAAAAATACCAAGTCCCTGGCCAGGTGCGATGCCTCACGCCTGCAAGCCCAGCACTTTGGGAGGCCAAGGCGGGTGGATCATCTGAGGTCAGGAGTTTGAGACCAGCTTGGGCAACATAGTGAAACCCAATCTCTACTAAAAATACAAAAATTAGCCAGGCTTGGTGGTGTGCACCTGTAGTCCCAGCTACTCAGGAGCTTGAGGCAGGAGGATCACTTGAACCTGGGAGGCGGAGGTTGCAGTGAGCCAAGATCGTGCCACTGCACTCCAGCCTGGGTGACAGAGTGGGACTCTGTCTCAAAACAAAACAAAACAAAAATCAAGTCCCTGTAAGTGCCAGAAGTCTATCACAAATTAAAGGGTGGCCTAACATAAAACAAGTCCTTATTTTGTATTACCTTCTCTGCTTTTAACATTGGGGCTGCAGAGGGCTATTTCTAAATCTGTCCTGATAGTTTATATTATGTCCATCATCATCTCATTCTTCTTTCATGATAGGTGCCCTGGAACTTCCAGGTGGACATGATGACTTGGGGTGTGGCTTTGGGTGCTCCTTAAATCTCTCTGGACTTCTTTTTCCTTATTTATAAAACAAAAATTCTAATTGCTACCTCCTAAGATTGTTGAGGGAATTAAATAAAAGAAAGGATTTGAAAGCCCATGCATGGTGCCCAGTACACAGGATGGTTCGACAAATATTGGGTATAACAAGTAAGGGGCTGAATTATATGTGGTTCTTCCTTTAATCTTAGATTTCCTTTAACTTTCAAATCTCTTGCCACGTATGTATCTATCTTGGCCTGTTGTATTCACAAGTCAAATATCTCTTTGTGCTTCTTGGATGAACAGCTTCATTCATTCCTTCACTCAGCCAAGTGTCTACTGAGCATGAAGTATGTGTTATTCCTGGAGCCAGGCACTGGGAGAAAACATGGTGAATAGGACATATATGGCACCTGCCTGCATGGAGCTTACAGTCTACTTAATCCTTTGTTGCATGCCTAATAGATGACAGTCACATTGCTGGCTCAGCTCTGGTGTACACTAGATTGGCTACAAATTAAGCTATTACTGGCACTCTAGTTGTAACTCCACCCCATCTCTCCTACTGATCCCTCCACAGAAGGCATACACAGGACAGAATGATTTAGTCTCAGAGTATAAAACATGGACCCTGATGACATCAGAATCATTAAAGCATATGTTAAAAATGCAGATTTCTGGACTTCCACAGTCTACCAAACCAAAATAGATGGCAATGAGGCCTGGCAATCTGCACTTTAAAAATTAAACAGGAGTTTCTGGTAGTGATATGAAATTGGGGAGGTGATGGCAGGAAAGAGAAAGAGGGGAAAGATGGATTTTTCTGATAATATTTGGTAAAAAGTTGGTATCATCTCCTAAAAATATATAACTGAAAGGAAGCAAGGAAGATGGAGTTAAACAGGCTATTTGTGAATAAAAACAATAATAAAATAAACTTTAAAAAATCTACATGTGGAACTTACTAGAGGAGCTTAGATCCAAGGTTCTATGTTTTTGAAAAATCACTTTTCCTTTTTGTGTTTGGCGTCACTGAGTATGATAGGATGGACTAAATCTTTCTATCTAAGAGTGTTCTCTTGGAATAAAACTGGGGGTTGAGAAGGTGTGGGAACTCTTTAGGGCCCCATCAGGTGTGCTAGAATAGTAACTTGTTAAACAGAAACCCACGAGGTAAATACAATGTTCCAAAGCAAACACTTGCTCCCAGGAAATAGCTTATGCACTATGAGAATCTTTCGAGAATCATAGAATGTTGGAGCTGCAAGGGACCTCAAGAGATCATCAAATCCAACCTCTTCCTTTTAAGGAGGATGGAATTGAACTTCCCGTCAGGCAAGTGACCTGCTCAGGGTGTGACAGCAAGTCCACATTAGAACTGGGACTAGAACCCACGGGTCCTGGTGGCAAGCCTAGTGCTCCCTCCGTGACTCGCTGCTCAGTCTTTTTAGTGCCTGATCATATTTCACATTTGCTTCTTGAGAAAACGTTTCACCAATGATTCAGTTACAAACACAGAAGGTTTCAGGCTTCTTCAAAGGACGTAGACTGAAGATAAAATAGTAGTAATTACCTGATGGAAAGTCTGAGGACAAACAGCTCCAAAAAGGCTGATTCAATAAGTAATGTCTGATCTTCTTTGGGGAGATCAGTAAATCCCGGAATCTTTTCTGCCCAGCTTCTGGATACATCAATGGAGGCTGTCAGGAGGTTGTAGAATTGTTGCACATGCTCAGCATCTGTGCCTGCAGCAGCCTGGTCAGTGGGACAGTACTAGAATGCAAACCAGAGAGAGCAGCATTATCCTGCTTCAGTGGGGATGATGGCATCACTTGCAAACAGGCCCTTCCAAGACCATCAATGCCTAAATTCTTACTTTTAGGTGTTACAGTTTATAAAACCCCTTCACATTCACAGTCTCATGTGATTCTCACAATGGCCCTGTGATACAAATACAGCAAATTTTATCGTTATCACTTAATAGACAAGGAAATTTGCTTAAGCCGAATTGGCAAAGTGGTTTTCACCCTTGACTGTGCAGTGCAATCACCTGGGGAGCTTGAAGAAACAACTCTTGTCTGGGTCCTGCGCCTAGAGATTCTCATTTAATTGGTCTGGGGTGGAGCCCAGGGGTCAAGAATTTTAAAAGCTCCCCAGGTGACTCCAAAGTGGAGTAGCCCAATTGAGAACTACTGCCCCAGGAGTTTGTGTCCAAGTAGATCTCAAGGGTCTACTCATTTCACTATAGCACAGCTGTCTCCCCATGAGATGCTAAATTAACCCAGTGGTTCTCAAAGTGTGGTCTCCAGACTGGCAGCATCAGCAACACCCAGGAATGTGTTAGAAGTGATAATTTCGGCCTGGGCGGTGGCTCATGCCTGTAATTCCACCACTTTGGGAGGCTGGGGGGTGGGGGGGTGGTGGTGAATCACCTGAGGTCAGGAGTTCGAGACCAGCCTGGCCAACATGGTGAAACCCCATCTCCACTAAAAATATAAAAATTAGCTGGGTGTGGTGGCATGTGCCTGTAATCCCAGCTACTCGGGAGGCTGAGGCACGAGAATCGCTTGAACCTGCAAGGTGGAGGTTGCAGTGAGCCAAGATCGTGCCACTGCACTCCAGCATGGGTGCCAGAGTGGCACTCTGTCTCCAAAAAAAAAAAAATGACAATCTCAGGCCCTACCACAGACCTACTGAATTAGAAACTCTGGGGGTAGACACAGCAAACATCAAAAAAAAATTTTTTTTGTAGAAATGGGGGCGTGGGTTGGGGGTGGGTATCGCTATGTTGCTCAGGTTGGTCTTGATTTCCTAGACTCAAGCAATTCTTCTGTCTCAGCCTCCCGAAGTACTGGGATTACAGGCATAAGACACCGTGCCTGGCCCACCAAACTGTCTTATCAAGATCTCCAGGTGATTCTCATACACAATGAAGTTTGAGAATCGCAGAAATAATCAACAAGAGAAAGAATGATTTTTGCTGGCTGTTGATGAATTTCTGTGAGATAAAACAAACCAGGAAGTGGTGGAAAGAGAGGTCTCTTTGGCAGAACCCAGGCAGCTGTGTGCCATCAGACTCAGGACTTGTGGCTATTTAAGTTAATAAAAACTAAATGAAATTAAAAATTCAGTTCCTCAGTCATGTTAGCCATATTTCAAGTGTTCAATGGCCAAATGTGGGATAGAACATTTCCATCACTGAGGGGAGGTCTATTGGACAGCATGGATCTAGAGAGTCCGAAGAGCAGAACGATATAAGTAGGAATAAAGTTTTCACCCAGCTTTCAGAAATTCTGGTGGAACCAGAGTTTTTCTTGAATCACCGGAGTAAAGACTTTTCTGCTGCAAGCAGGAAGACTGACACAGCAAGATACTAATCAAGGGACAGCCAACAACACAGAGATTTAAGAGATACACAGAAACACGTAAATAGGCACATCATTTCCTTCACATTAACATGGCTGTGCATCATTTTGCATTCCTTTTCTGAACTGATCCTCATGGGTAGGGATTTTAATCTTTATTTTACAGGTGAAAAAACTGAGGCTCAGAGAAGCTAAGAGATTTTCTCAAGTTACACAACCAATAGTGGTACAGCCAGGACTTATGCTGACCCTGTGATTTCAAGTTTTACCCCTCCTAGCTATTAAGTATGTCTGATGTTACTAGCTGGTGGGATCTTTTTTTTTTTTGAGATGGTGTCTTGCTCTGTCGCCCAGGCTGGGGTGCAGTGGCACGATCTTGGCTCACTGAAACCTCCACCTCCTGGGTTCAAGCGATTCCGTGCCTCAGCCTCCCGAGTAGCTGGAACTACAGGTGTGTGCTACCATGCCTGGCTAACTTTTGTATTTTTAGTAGAGACAGGGTTTCACCATGTTGGCCAAGCTGGTCTCAAACTCCTGACCTCAAGTGATCCACCTGCCTTGGCCTCCTGAAGTGGTGGGATTACAGGCGTGAGCCACCGCGTCTGGCCTATGAAATCTTTAAAAAGCATTTTGCTTTACTCTCACTGGAGCTCTCCAGGTATGTATTCATTGGTCCTATGTTTCTGTCAACAGTACAGTGACTGGCACATAATTACACCTCAATAAATAACTGTTGAATATTTTTTCAATGAAAGAATAGTCAGAAGAGTGCTTAGGTTTGCTGTAATATCCTAACCTGGTTGGAGAAGAAACAGCTAATAAGCAACTAGGTGCTTACTGTGGAGCTACCTGGGTGAGAGGAAATGAGACGCTTATTTAATTGGGTCTTTTTTTCTTTGTGTTTTCCCAAGAAGCAGTATTAAATAACTAAAAAAAAAAAAAAAAAAATCAGAGAGTCCAGCTACTTTAATCTCAATTTTGTTCTGGCCCCTAATATGGGAAATAATGTAGGATCATTTTGCTTTTATGAACCTCAGCTTTCTACTCTGTAAAATGGGGATACCTTCCTCAAAAAAAATTTTTTTTTGAGACAGGGTCTCGCTCTGTTCCTCAGGCTGGAGTGCAATGGTGTGATCAGGGCTCACTACAGCCTCGACTTCCCCAGCTGAGGCGATCCTCCCACCTCAGCCTCTTGAGTAGCTGGAACCACAGGCAGGAACCACCACGCCCATCTAATTTTTTCTATTTTTTGTAGAGGCAGTGTCTCTATATTGCCTAGGCTGGTCTTGAACTCCTATATTGCCTAGGCAGGTCTTGAACTCCCATATTGCCTACACTGGTCTTGAACTCCTGGGCTTAAACGATCCACCTGGCTGGACCTCCCTACAATCTATGCTGGGATTACCATGTGTACCATCCCTGGCCTTCCTCAAAATTTTGCTGTGATGATTAAATGTGATAACATATGTAAAGGGCCTGATATATAGTACATGATTAACAAATGACAGTGATGATATTGATAGCAGTTATGATGTCTGAAATAATCACCATCCCTCAGCTTCCATATTTATGAAATGGAATGGGTTGAAGTAGAAAGTTTTTGATTTTCAGCCCTGATGTTCTAAGATCCTATAACATCTGGTCCAGTTCAGAGCCCTGGCTTCTCTGTTCCCAACAATCCTACACAATGCCTGGGATTCTATGAAGTCCTGAATATTCTGTGTTGTAATAGACCATGGGAGCAAAGTCCAGGAGAAGGAAGCATGGCGGCACGATCCTATGTCATAGACACTTGCCACTACCTCCTCCTTTTTTTTTTTTTTTTCGGAGACAGAGTCTTGCTCTGTTGCCAGGCTGGAGTACAGTGGCATGATTTTGGCTCACTGCAACCTCTGCCTCCCGGGTTCAAGCGAGTCTCCTGCCTCAGCCTCCCGAGTAGCTGGGACTACAGGCGCACACCAACATGCCCAGCTAATTTTTGTATTTTTAGTAGAGACAGGGTTTTACCATGTTGGACAGGATGGTCTCTAACTCCTGACCTTGTGATCCACCTGCCTTGGCCTCCCAAAGTGCTGGAATTACAGGCATCAGCCACCGCGCCCCACCAGCACACAGACTCTTAACTGGAAGAGAGTGGGGAAAAGGGAATTAACTTTCCCCTTTTTTATTTTCTCCTTATTTATGAATTTATTTAATAATTCCACAGGCTCTCCAAGAGCAGAATGAAATTCAGGGCAGATCCTCCCTTTCAAAAGCTGAGGGAGCTACTTGTGAAACTCCCAAATGAGTGGGAGTAAAGGAAAGTGTGTTGGACCAAGCAGCAGGTCATGGGGTCCTCATCCAGGCTCTGCACTGACTTGCTGTGCAGTTCTAGACAAGGCATTTAACCTCTCTGAGTCAGTTTCAGTCTCTGGAACAGGAATAAAGTGGACTACCTGATCCCTAAGATTACTTCTGGCTCTTGCATTAAATGATTCTAAATATTGCTAAATCACACCAGGTATGATGTTATTGCCTGGAACTTGACACTGATTCAGCATTATTTTGTTTTAAAATAGTGGGAGAGAGAAAAAGACTAAAGAATGAATAGTTTCCCCTGAGAATGGATCTGACAGCTACCTCCTGCACTGACTCCCCTGAATCCATGGCTCACAACTCAACAATCTCTCTGCTTCCAATATTTGTTCAGAATCCATCAAAGTGTGTAGCTTTCACCCAGGGTCCTCTGCAGGCTTCTGCCCCTGCTGGGCTCACATTTCATGCCTTCTGCACACAGGGAAGTGAAGTCCCTGCCCACCCTGTGTGTGTACTTTTCTCTGATGGAGCCCAGCAAGAAGGAAAGCCAGCCGGCCCAGCCTGCCAGGCTCCAGCCAGATCCTCTGGGCTTCACCTGCAGTGGTTTTGGTCCAAGTCTCAGAATTTTGGAGCCAAAGTGAATTCAGTCTGAGCCACCAGTAACTTGGGGGTGACTGGAGGGTCAGCATCCAATGCTGGAGGAAAAGAAAAATCTCCTCTATTGGACATAAGATGTAAAGGAACGGAACAAAACGTTTTAGATTTTTTCTCTGCCTGGCCTACCAGTTTAGGAAAACCTCACCCAATGAATACTGGTCCTAGAGTTGGAAGGACTGGACTCCCAGCTCTGTGTCTCTGCTGCCCTACATTGATTGCTCTGTCTCTGGGCTAAGTAGGTTTGGGGTTTGACAAAGAAAATCTAGAAATATTTGCTTACTGATCATGCCAATCGAACATAGGTCAAATGCAAAAAGATTTTTTTAAATGAACTTTTTTCCTGTTTATACTAATTTTTTTCCACCCTATAGGGGTTATTGATCTGTCAGAACTCTGGCTTTCTCACTAGTCAAAGACACAGTATTACATTTACTGACAGCCAATGCCTAAGGAAGGTTTCTCTAAAGCACCTAGAATGGGAATCTAGAGCTGCAAACAACAGCAATGGATATTATGTAAACTAAAATGGGTCTGTGTGTTTCATATGGCAGTAACGCAGCTATACAAGTCAGACTTCAGCAATAGCCCAGGCCCCAAATGAGATATTTGTGTGGAAATTAAGTGAGACCCATGGAAAACACCACCCCTCAAAAATTAGTGATGTGAGGCTTTAATAGCAGAGTGGAATCTAATATTTACTCTATCTCACTTTCAGCCCTGGCTAAATATGTAGACTACGCTAAGGACACGTTTTTCTCCCCTTAAAATGTTACTTTTCTCAACTATAGCTCTAAAAATTTTAGATGTGATCATTGTATAAGTCAAACTATGTATACATATTCTTAGGTTCTTACACTTTAAAAAGTGACATTTTAAAAATTGGCAATGAATATATTTTCCCCCCAATTTTTTCTTTTCTGATCTAACTCTATGCCCCCACTCCAAAAAGCAAAAAGCAAAAAATTCCTCTCCTCCCACCAATGACATCACTGCAATTGTATATTTGTTTACTCTTTTTCTCCTTTACAGGTATGTAAGGTTCATGTGGATAAGGGCTTTGTCTTGTTCAGCAACGTGTCCATTGCCCTGGAACAGTGCCTACTACCTAGCAGCCATTCAGTAAGTATTTGTTAAATGAATTGATTGCTTTCAGGAAAATTTATATCTCTATTGCTCATCCCTTCTCAACCCCAGGAAAAGCTGGAAAATTCAAGGTAAAATTGAGTTGTTATTATAAACTATATCGATGGTTCTCAAACCTTAGTGTGCCAAAGAATCATCCAATGGCACTTTTTAAAGTACAGATTTTTGCCTGCCTCTCCTTCTTCCCAGTTCTGATTCAGTATGTCTGAGTGGGTATGGCCTGGGAATCTGCATTTTAAAGCAAACACCCCACCTCTTTCTCGTAGGAGCAGTCTGGGCACCATGTTTTAGGAAATGCTGACCTGTACTCATAGTGGAACTATAGCAGTTATTAATATTATGGTCAGAATATCAGGGAATGAGAAGCCTGGAGAGATAATGGGAATGAATTTAGCTTAATCTCTTTACCATTTGGATCAGGAAACTGGCCCACAGAGGGGCAGGAACTGGCGTGAAATCATCTGGTGAATTGGTAACAATTTGAGAGGGTCTTCTGAGATGCTTCATGAAACCACTCTTTTTGCAGCTTCATTCTGTTTACCTTGTAGTTCTAACGTGTCTTAAGCCACATTGTTTCATAGGCTATCTTGTGAACACATTTAAATGCCATTTGCTGGTGCCTGGTTTTATCTGAGCAGCACCTCTCGTATTTGCAAGTCTGTTACTCCGTTAAGTGGCACTGATTACCAGAAAACATCCTAGTATGCTGAAAAATACTTGAAATGATCAACTAATGAGGACACTAAGTATGTTTTCTCATTAGTAATTATGCAGGCTCTGAAGCTAATCCCAGTATCTATACATACTTGTATTGCTAAATTAAAAGCAACTGTGGTGCAGAGAACAGAAACATTTTGAGGAGAGACAAATCAAACGTGACATGTTTTGACTGCACTGATGTACAATGATCTGAGCTCACTTTTGAGGGAGAGAAGTTTGGCCCAAAGGAGAACTGAAGGTCCCAGAGCCAGGAATGCTTCACAGAACTCAGGAGCTCTTTCTGGCCTCTAAAACATTCATTTCCTCTGTGACTTGGAACAAAACCCCTCCACCTCCCATTCCCACAAATGGAGAAAACTGCTCACTTACTACCTTAAAGGAACACATGCTAGTACATGAAGATTAAAACATACTGGGCTGGCAACACATTTCCTCCTTTCTCTATTGACCTGACTCACTGGGGGAAGCTAGCATCTTTAATAAATTGTAGGGCTCAAATCAACTCTCAAACTTGACAGGGCAAATTCTTATTTATAATGTAATAGATTATGGATACACACTAAAACACGGCTAAGGAGTGGGATCGGGCAGCTATAAATGAAGTAGAGACTTTCATTTTTCATTTTATCCACTTGTAAATGGTTGCCTTTAAAAAAAAACCCCAATGGATATATATTACTATTATTGTAATTTAAAAATATTTAATAAAGTTTATATGTTCAAAAATATAATAAATTGTCATTAAATAGAAGTGACAGTATGATGAAATAGAAACCTATTGAGTGATGAGATCTGGATTTTGTCCTCTACTCTGTCACCGACATTAGGCAAGCCAGTTAACCCCTTTAAACCTTAATTTACTCTTCTGAAAATATGGGACTTGGATTAGATGATCCCAAGGTCACTCCAGTTTTATGAATTTGTATATGTAAAACTTTAAGAAGGAAGGTATTATGAAAACTGAATTTCAGTGAATGACATTATTAAGGAAATTACTCAAACCATAAATAATACCACACAGAGCTGGAGTCTTAAGTGAAATTATGTAAGAATATATGTGATGGTCAGCAAAGGAAACAATTTAAAAAGTGAAATACTACAGAATGGGAGAAAATTTTGCAAACTATCCATCCGACAAGGGATTAATAACCAGAATATATAAGGAATTCAACTCAATAGCAGAAAAAAAATCTATTTAAAAATAGATAAAAAACCTAAATAGACATTTTTCAAAACAAGACATAGAAATAGCCAACAGGTATGTTTAAAAATGCTCAACATCACAAATCAACAGGAAGATGCAAATCCAAACCACAAGGACATATCATCTCACCCCAGTTAGAATGATTATTATTAAAAAGACAAAAAATAAATGCTGGTGAGAATGTAGAGAAAGGGGAGCACTCATATACTGCTGATGGGAATGTAAATTAGTATAGCCATTATGGAAAACAGTATGGGGGTTCCCCAAAAAGCTAAAACTAAAACTACCTTAATTACTCCCTGTGTTGATGAACTCACACTTCCACAGCAGCTAGTATGGCCAACACTTGTTATCAGACAAGTGAGCGGGAAGAGGCCCCCCTCCTCTCTCTAGATCTGTCTTTGGGAGAATAGTTCTTTTTGCCATAGGGCAAAAGAGTGACCCAATTTCACCAAATCTTTTCCCTTCTTGCCTACATATTTCTGTTTCCCCCAATCATCCATTACAAGTTCCCAGAAACAGTAAATCCCAGCTTAGAACTGGACTCAATTCACGAAGAACAGTCTGACAGGACAGAGTCCATGCAACCATCATCAACTTGGGTCTGCCCATACTCCTACTACTGCAGCTGAAGGTAATGTGGCATCCCTCCCTTCTACCACACACGTTCTTTGTTGGTTCATTTTGAGTGTATATGGAATAAACTCCCCAGATCTTCTTAACATGAACCACTTTGCCAAGGCTCTCCCATTTGTTTAAATTCTAAATGCTGAGCTTCAGATTTATTTTTGTTAACTTTCTTTGTGATGGTTTCAGCCCTTCCTGTTCCAACCTGTCGAGATCACTCTGAATGTTGATACTGACATCCATCATATTAGCGATCCCTCCCAGCTTTCTGTCATTTGCAAATGTGATCAGCATGCTTTTATGCTTTCATCCAAGTTTTTGATGAAAACTCACTGTATTTTTAAAAAGTCTTTTAATTTAGTTGATTTGGGTCCAATTTTTGATAATTGTGTAATGCCATCTAAAAGCAGGGGAATCCAAGTTATGAGGTTCAACCTGATTCCAAAATAATGCAATTAAAATAAATATGCTTTGCAAAATTGAGCCAGGCCCCAAAGGTAGTACCAATGTGACCCAGGCTCTGGCATGGTCAATCTGCTATTTTGGACAAAGCTAACAATTAAATTGGATAAATGTTTGTTGATGAGGATGATGACTCTAGACTAACAGACTGAATGGTGCAGAGGCAAGCAAACACACTAGATTGATTTTTCAGTGTGGGGACAGTTCCCAGCTGGGACAACTCAAAGTGCTGGGAAAGGTTTGCCATTGAATGACTAATTAGGCCATGTAGACTGATAATTGGATAATTTGGGGCCAAAAAATTACTTTTGAGGCCTAAATTATCTGTACTGACCATCTATTGTGCTTTCAAATGCCCTGGAGCAATGTCAGATTGTGTGCTATAGCCTTAGCCTAGGCAGTGCTAAGAAGCTTCACTAATTCAGATGAACTGCCTTTGGAGAGGCCAGGGTGCTTCTGGGAGGAGAACTCTTCATTCCTGAATACTTTTCTAGCACCCACTCTCACTGGAACCAGAGAGGCAGTGAAGCTTGGTATTTAGGAGCCCAGATTTTAGGTTCAATACACTTGGCTCTTAATATACTTGGCTCCTAATTCTGTCTCTGCTGCATATTAGTTCAGTGACCTTGGGCAAGTCAGCCCTTTAGCCTCTCCCAGTTTAAATTTCCTTATCTGTGAAATAGAGATCATAATACTTATCTTTAGAGTGTTCTGCATGATACCTAATGTAGTGTTCATGCTCATTAGGACATTGAACAAATGGCAGAGTAAGAAAGTTTGGCCAAGGAAATAACATACAGGGCACTGTGCTAAAGCTTTGACAAGTATAATTGTTAATTAATCTTCACGAACAACCCCAGGAAGTAGATATTACTATTACCCCACAACACAGAGGAGAAAACTGAGGCATCAAAGGGTGTAATCAGTTGCTCAAGGTCACTTAGCTAGTAAAGGACAGTGTTGGGATTTTCATCTAGGCCCGCATGATTCCAAAGAAGCCTAAACTGTTAACTTAGTCTTATTATTCTGCTTTATTCTCTTACACTATTATTTGAGACTTGATTGTAGTCAAGAGCCACTACTTATAATCAGAATAAGAGTCCTCAACCTTTGATGCTAAGGATCTACCATGCTTCTCATATGACGTTTTGTTATCAGGTGCAGAGAGGAGGCTTCGCAGCCTATAATGAGGGTGGGGAAGAGGGAAAGAGGATCACAGCAGGTACACTAATCATTTCTATCAACACTGCAACCTAAGGAGAAGGGCACATAGCAGGGACACACTCACACTGTTTGCCAGCCATTCAGCCAGAAGCTTGAAACACTGATTAGACCTGGGGAGGGCAGTTTGGTAGTAGCCACCAAGACAGATCAACCGACTGGGGGCCTCTGGACTGGTATTTCTTTATCTGAGTGCAAGCTGTGTTTCTAAGGTTTTTTGTTTTTGTTTTTGTTTTTGTTTTCCTTCAAGTAGGAGGGATAATGATTCCTACAATTCATGGTGGTTTAAAGGATTAAATGAGATAATGTACCACAATGTCTAGCATATAGAAACTGCTCAATAATTGTGATTTTTTTTCCTTCTCTTCCCTCTTCATTGAGACCCTGTTTTGCTAGAAGTTTAGTTTTCTAAGTCCTTTAAAGAAATTGCCTTACAGAGCTGTTTATTCATTTGCTCAGGAAATCCTTTCTCATGGTTCTTCTCTGTGTTATCCAAATTTTGAGGAATTTGCAGGGTTCAGACTGATGGGATTTTACTATATCCCATATGAAATAAAAATGTTGATATGTTTTGGTTGACTTAACTATAACAACACCAATCGTCATTTATGGTCTTAAAAACATTTTCACAACCATCATTCTTGTGTGACTGGTGTTCAGAACACCCCTCTGAGGTTAAATATTGTAGCCATTTCCACTGTAGGCAGGAGAGAGCCAAAAGCAGGAACCAGGTGACACAGGCAGGAAGTAGCAGAGGTGGCGTTCCATCCCAGTTCTCCTGACAACTGATGTCACAGCCAGAGCTCGCTTCTCTCCACCAATGGTCTAATCCCTCTGAATAAGCAGCAGGTCAATCAATGCTGATGCAATTGGATAAACTGCTTAGTAATAACTTGAGGCTCACCCAGATGGTTTGAACACAATATGAAAAAAAACAGTAGTCACTTTGTCTAGATCACGAGATAAATCTACAAATTGTAGTTTGTCTGTGCAGATTTTCATTGGCACAACCACCAGGAATCCTGCAACAATGTGTATGACAGGTGCAGCACTGTCAGGGTCACTTGTTAAGGCATTTAGAGATTCAATAAGGCAAAAATTATTTGCTGCAATGGATGCACTGAATTGCTAAATGAAGCGAGAAATATAGAAAAAGTATGAAAACTGTCTAACATGGTGCCAGACACAAAATCATTCAATCAACTCTTATTACTAGTAGCCATAAATAGAGACCCTGATCATTCATTTGAAAGCAGGAAATCATAAAACTTACTCTGGAATAATCAAGATCTCTGGGTGTTGAGTCTGTTAAAGCTCGGACAAGGGCATTCATCATGCAGATTGGAGGAGAAGGTGGAGAGGGCTGAGAAGGTTCCTGTTGTAATGGGCTCTTTGGTTTGGAAGGCAGACGACCTCTCCTCCCTTTCAGACTATCTGTACGGACAACTGATGCCAAAAGAGACAAAGAAAACAATCTTCAAAGATTATGGAATGAACGACCATAAATCGCAAAAAGGAATAAAAACACATTACAGTTGAGCAATCATTAATGAGACCAACCATTTAAAAGTGGTAATAAGTTTGGAATAATATTCACACAATGATTTCATGAGAGTTGAAACAAGCAGCATAAAAGCCACCGATATTTACATTTGGTAATGAATTAGCCCTAAAAGTCTCCTTCTTAAATAGAACAAAGATGTATGTATACAAGTCCTCTGTTAATTTTGAGAAATTAGAATAAATAGTCCTCAGTTATTTTAAAATGTAGATATATATGATAAAAATAAAATGTTGAAAGGAAAAAGGAACTAGAAAAATTCACCATCCCAATGTAAATATTAGCTTTTTTTCACTGATTTCTGATAATATGTATAAGCAAACTGGGTAAAAAGCATTATATCCATACCTTCTTTTACCATTCCAACACTGAGACACTTCTGAAATCGACAGTACTGACATCGGTTTCGACGTCTCTTGTCTACTGGGCAGTTTTTATTTGCCAGGCAAACATATTTTGCATTTTTCTGCACTGTTCTCTGAGAAAATATAATACAAGATAGTCAACTGATAGTTTCTGGAAAGAGGTAGGACCTGACAAGATGTATTTTAATTACAATGTGAAAAGCGACAGTGCAATTCGTATAATTCGATAAATTTAATTTCCTAAAACGCTAGCCTGCAGGAAAAACAATTTTATTAGTGTTAGCTGCTGACAATGAAAATCATCTCGGATTGTTCTAAAGCAAGTCTCAGGAGACACCCAACTCTGAATGATAAAATCATATCTGAAATTACCAGGTCAACATATCATACCTTGGAGAATTAGATTATCTCCACTTTTAATATCCCTTTGGGAACAATTTTCTACTTGTTCCACTCCCCTGATTATTGCTGACCTTATTAAAATAAAATCAAAATTATCTGGGATGTACTTTGTTTGCTATCACTATTGTAAGTCAAATATCACAGTAACTGGCTTTGTTACCCAACAGAGATGAAATCATAAAAACCAAAATCAGGATTTTTCTAATTAAAACATATAGGAAATAATGTTTTAATGCAAAAAAACTAACTTAATCAGCCTGTATAGCTTATTTTATCTTTAAAGACCATATATGATAAACAGTCCATTCCTGATTTTTCAAAGCAAAATCTTAAAAGTAGTTATTACAAATCATTATTATATCCAAGGAAGAAAACAAAAAACCCCAAGGTACAAACGAAAAATGAGACAAAGAAAGATATATGACAGCCATATATTTTCAGTGAAAATTCCTATTAATAGGTCATTTCATAAATGTCTATTGACATAGACACAGTAACCATATTGTAAAAAAAATCATAAAACTTAAGGTTGGATAGAAAAATGATGTTGTATTTTTCAGAATCCATATAATTTGGAAATGACACATGGAGAAATAAACATATTTCGTCCTCCAAATTTAAACAAATGCTTGCTTTTTAAATTGAAAACATTTGTGCAAATGAACGTATTTTTACCACTTAGGGTGAAACTGTTCAGAAATTACCTGGATCTATACAACTCCAAATAGAGCAGAAAGTTGAAATTTATTTGGGAAGCCTGGGCTGCATTAATAAAAAAAGAAAATAAATCCAGGTAACTTGGGCTTTATGATCTATTTTGTGTTCAAACATCTAGATTTGCTTTTTAACATTTACTTCCAGTCATTCTCAACCCCCATGTTTCAGTTTTACCCTGTTACCTTTTAATTTCATTTTAGGGGATAGTTTCTAGATTGCTTATATAAAACTTAATATAACAAAGCCAACCTATGTCAAGTCTAAGACATGTTTCTCCCACCATAGTAGGTGATTTTAGTTTAAAATGCAAAATTCTGAAACACAGGCATACTTCTGAGGTTCCAGCATTTAAATTCTTAGCAGTCTGTAAGGGTAGGAAACGTGTGTTTCCTGAATAAAGCTTTCATTGAACATGCAGTAATTTCTAACACTCTATTTCTTGCCATCATCCTCAAGGCTTTATGCCAATTTGAGTGCTGATGGCATTTTGCTTCAGGTATACATTTTCCCAATAACCTGAAGCCTTCCCTACATTTGTGTTTAAGGACAGGGAGAGATCATTATGGTTCAATCACCGAATTCCTATCATTAACTGCACTTCATGTCACATTTTTAAAGAACTCAATTTAATGGTAGAAAGCCACTGGGTAAAACCTGCTCCGGTTCCCTTAATTAACAGTTCTGTGGGGTGATTCTCCCCCATCTTGCCCCCACCCTTTCAAGTATAGATTTGTTTTCGAGGGATTGCTGCAGAAAAGAGAAGCTGTTGGGGAACACTTAATTGACATTTCTGGACTCAGAATGTATTACCACTCTGGTATTTTGGTCAACTCTCCATTATTTAGAGATAATTATATTTGTAGATTATTCATAATTCTTGTTTTTTTCTTTCCCCCTTTCTGCTGCCAGTTTCACTGTCCTTCAGCATTTTCCACTGAAATCCTGTAAAAATCAAATCTGCTAAAGGAATGCAGTTACTTGAAAGTAGCTCTGATAAAGCTTGAGTAGTTAAAACAAAAAATGGCCAAACTCAGTGGCTAAAAAATAAAATAAAATGACCAAGATTCTGCATTTAAAACATCATAATCCCAAATATCTGTAGGGCACTTAACGTATTGCAGTCTTTCCCCAAACATTTTCTCATTTCTCTGCAGAATTCAGGTAGTGATATTTACAATCTGAAGATCAAAAATAATTGTTGCTTGTTGCTATGTATATCCCTCCACAAATGTGCATTTTTACAAAACTTTATAGCTTTTGTTTAATAATGAACTATCTGTACAGCTCTTTAAAGATTATAAAGCACTTTCATATATATTTTTATCTCATTGAATACACAGCTCTTCTCTGAGTTTTATTCATTGATAGGGAAACAGGCTTAGAATGAAGTGTCATGCCCAACATGATACAATTGGAAGGTGGAAGATCAAGGTCTTCTATTTGAGTCTTCTCTCACTAATTCTGGTGTACTCCCAGATATATCCTATTGGCCTCCCAAATCCAAGTTACCCAGTCAGCATCCTGCTTTCTCTTTCTTTCTACCCTGTCCAGCACTAGAGGATAAGGAATAATTTGTGTGGGTTTGTAAATGACTGAAATAATGGCCAGTGGGGTGAGGAGTGAGAAGGATGGCACAGAAGTAAGTGTCTGATAAAGTCTGGGAGTCAACAGCAAAAGGTAGCACAGCAAAAGAGCAAGGTCTTTTCCCTAAGTGGCAGAAATAACACTGAACTCAGGAGTCAGGACAAATCAGCTGGAAACATCTCATGGGCAGTTAAATCACTGCTTACAGCCTGCATAAGGCTTCACCGCTCCAGGCCTCAGCTTCCTCGTGGGTAAAATATGGGGGAGGCTGATGGCCCTCCCACTGTAAAATTTCTCCGTTAGGCCTATGAGGGAATGAATTATGTCTACACCTGGCACCGCATGTGATACAGAGGTAGGGAAAGGTTCCTAGAGGACACAAGACCCCAAGTTCTATCTTCTATGGAAAGAGGCAGCTCTTTCCATAGAAGAAGACAGTTGTCCCTGTCTCCTAGAGCTGCAGAGCTGTGAAAAGGGAATGGACTTTGGGGTCACGCAAACGTGGGTTGGCATCCTGCCTCCATCTCCCTTCTCTGAAGGTGTGTCCTGAGGCAGCTGATTAACCTCTTCAAACCTCAACATCCTCATCTACAAAACAAAGAAAATTAAAACACTGTTTTAAAACACTGTTACTAAAAATAGCTAGTGAGTGGCCAGAATTCAATCTTAGATGTGTCTGACTCTAGAGCCCCAGCTCTTACTGTAAGGATTAAATGAGACACAAATGTCCAGGGCTTGGTACGCACACACTATCCCCTCAGACACCCTGGATGGACAGACAAAGCAATGAGGTTTTTGCATTTTCGAAGTCACAGGTCCTTTTAAGACTCTGCTGAAAGCTCTCCAGAAAAATGTTCATAGGGCAGTGTCAGGCCAGGAGGTTCACGGACCCCCGGAGTCCGTCTGGGGTGGCCTGCTGCACATGGACCTCAGTAGAAAGCCCCTGAGAAAATGGATGTGAAGGTGCTAGGAAGGGCTGTAGGAAAGCATGATGTGCCGATTACAGCTCTCAAACCGGGAAGAACAAGGATGCTCCTACACTCACTTAGAAGCTCCCTTCAGTGAGGGGGCTGGGTGCGGAGGGGAGGGGGCGGCGTGCGCTCACCTTGAAAAAGCCCTTGCAGCCCTCGCAGGTTCGCACGCCGTAGTGCTGGCAGGCGGCGTTGTCCCCGCACACGGCACACGTGCCCTCGCCAGACGACGAGCTCCTGCTGGGCGGCGACGGCAGGCTGGGACTCTCGCCCAGCAGGCTGGACGCGGTAGGGGAGGGCGTGAGGCCGAGAGGCGGGAAGGCCAGCGGGGCCGCCCTCTTGGCCAGCGGCAGCCCGTACGGGTGGCTCTCAAGCGCGGCGGCCTGGCTGCCCGCGGCGGCTGCGGCTCCCAGCGGCAGGCTGAGCGCGGCAGCGGCCGTCGGGTCGTAGCCGAGGTGGTGGCCGCCGGCCGGGCTGGGCGCGGGGGGATGCGGCGGCGAGGGCTTGAAGTGGAAGAGCGGGAAGCGCGCGCCGGCCACCGTGGGGACCGCCTTCATCGGCGGGTCCAGCAGCGGGCCGGGTGCGATGCAGCCGGGCGCCGAGGGCAGTGCCTCGTCCCATAACGCCCCCGCCTGCGGGGGGAAGGCCGGCGTGGTGGGGGTGGACGGTGGGGACTGCTTGAAGTACATGGAGGTGCTGGGCAGCACCTCGTCCTCCGGGCTGGAGGCTGGAGGAATGGATGGCTGCTGATGCTGCTGCTGGTGATGGTGGTGGTGGTGGTGGTGGTGGTGGTGATGGTGATGGTAGCTGGGCGCCCGCCCCTCCTCCACTTTGATCAAGGGCCGCTGCATTTGGTACACGCAGGAAGGCTTGAGTTCGTAGTTGCTCGAGTAGCCCTCCACGAAGGTACTGATGCTGGGCAGGGACGTGGTGGCTGTAGCCGTGATCTCAGTGCTGCCAAGGTCCATGGTCAGCTTGGTGTAGTCGGGGTTCATGATCTCCGTGGTGTATTCCGAGCTGTATGTCTGCGCCGCATAACTGGAACCTGGAGGGGAAGGGCTATATTGGGCTTGGACGCAGGGCATATCTGCAGGGACAGAGAAAAGGGTCTCTCAGAAGCAAGTTAACACTTGTTTTCTAGCCAACAGGCAGCATTGGGTTCACTGTTCTCTAATCTGGGAAACAGAGAGGAAGTGTCATCCTCTCCTCCTTCTGGTAGCATAGACACAAAGCCCCACACTTATTTTCTTCATCCCTAGTAAGGAAGCTGAATTCCTGACAAAGGGGTGCCAAAACCTGGCCTCCTGTGGACTCCTGTACCTATCTTTCCTCCCTTGCCCTGTCCTCCACTAGATTTGGGAAACTTGAAGTCTTTCCTCATAAGCTCAGAGATGTTTTTAAAAAGAGGCTTTGAATCCTATAAACTAATTGGAGTGGGCTCCTCAGCTATAACCTAGGGGGACAAAGAGAAAGCCAGTGGTTTATTTGGGAGGAAAGAGGCCATTGGTCCCCCAAGGCATACACATTGATTTGTAAACCTGAGTTAGGCAAGAAAAACTACCCTGTGAGAGATTTAGTGGCCAAGGGAGAGAGTTGACATTCTAACATTTTATGAGTGCCAATTGAGGTTGCCCACACACGTTGTGGTTGCTTTCTCCCACCTCATCCCCACTCTTCCAATAGGGCTAGCAGCCTGCACAAACTGGACCCCTGTTGATAACTTCAGTCAGCTAGGTGGGGACATAGGCCCAGGAAATTGACTCGGGAGAGTTTGTACCATCTGCAAAGAAAAAGATCAGCAGCTGCAACAAAACACCCACCCATATATATATATATACACACACACACACACACACACACACACACACATATATATATCCCAATTCTAACTAATAAAACATATCAGTGACTGTTTTGTGATAACAGTTTATAACTATCATAATAGGCAAGTTAGTATAGGTATTTCCTTATGACACTAGAATTAGTACCCATGAAAAAAAGCAGTTTCTCAATAGACTTGATTTCTCTGCCAGTTTGACTATGTTGCCCCCAAAGTGGCTGGTATCCAGGGTGCTTACTATTGTTCAGAGAGGCTGAACTGAGTGAGAAGGCGCTGAGAATTATTGGATGTAGTGGATGATTTATCTAATTATTTTTCTTTCTTTATGGCTAAATATAAATGGTAAAAAACGGCGGTTTTTGGTGGTTGGTTTTTCTGAGCCAAAGGAAAACCAGGTGCTTAACGCCTCTTTGGAGTCTATGGTGTAAAAGGTGTGACTAATAGAGAAGTGAATACTTCACATTTCCTTTGACATCTTTCTCTTACCCACATTTCCAAATCTGATTGAGTCATGCATGTATGGGATGAAATCTTGACTTGAAAAAAGGTGATGAGGGCCTGTTGGAAGAAGCAGTGATGAGGAGAGGCCAGTTCAAGCCTTTCTTTAACAAGCAGGGCCTTAAAAATACACTCACTAGTTTGAAGTCCAGTTACTTATCTTGCTGTCCAGTTGTTGGGATGAAATGAAAGGCTAATCATTTAAAAGAAAGAACACTGCCTGATCTTTGATCTATTCTCCTTCTCCCTTCAGCACCTCTAGGATTTCTCCATTACTCTTTTCTGTCATTCTTTCCGGCCAATCCCTTTTTACTGCTCTTATTTGTGTCTTTCTGAGGTTTCTAGCTAGAAGATGAGCTTGCTGGGATTGTATTCTATTTATCTGCATTATCTATGGTGCCCACACAGGCTTGGCACCTAGTATTCCTTTAACAAATTTGTAAAGAGGTGGTACAAACCAAAAGTGCAATCTGTTCTTTTGCCAAACTCAAATTTACTCTTTGGTTTTCATCTCAAATGCTTTTCTCCTTCCCTCTGAGCTTCAATCATCCAAACTTCTGCACCCAAATGATTTGGGTTTTATATAAATGAAAATGCTCAGTATTGCTCTAAGTGATTCCATAACTCTTACATGTGCACACTGGCTATAAAAGAAGAGCAAAAATGAAATTAAAAATGTATAAAATACCCTAATCTATTGGTGTATTTGTATTTCTCTTAGGAAAATTAATTTTGAGCAATGCAAGCTTAATTTAATTTGGCTGCTCCACTCAGTAGCAACAGGGTGTGGTATACAGAGGAGCTTCCTGTGAGGAAGCCACCTGTGTTGTGAAATTCGCGGCCAGCAGTCACTGTCCTGGCACTGGGCAGGTCGACCACGCTGCCCGCCGAGTGTGTGGTTCCCCCACCCACTTCCCTCAGCCAGGGAGGAGAAAAGGGTCTTGCCTTCGGACCTACCTGGAGGGTATCTTGCGCGCTGAATGGTGGGGCTGGGGGTCTCTCCAGCGGAGGCTGAGAGTGTAGGAGGAGCGGACGTCCGGCGAGGCGAAGCGCCGGCAGTGCTGCCCGGCACCGCTAAGGGTCCAGGCTCAGGGCCCGGGCTTGCCGGGCTGCCCTCTTCCGCAGTGGGCTCTACAGGCAAGGTGAAAGAGGACATAGGTCACAGTGAGACCAGGATGGGTCACTACGGCCCGGGCTGGGCGCATTGGGGACTGGGGGAATTGGTTGGCAACCTCTAGAAATGTTACATTAATTACAAAGAATTATCGTAAAATTAAGGGTGATTAATGGTACAGGAGTCCCCCTGGGCAAGAAGCATCACACGGCCTCGGGGAAGCCGAGGAAAGGTTGTTGGAACCCACTGCGCCTACCACCGTTTTGTGGCACCAAAACCGAGGCTAAAAAAAAAACGCGCAGCCTGTTATTGCCCAGAAATTGATCTCTCTGCCCCCACAATTGATTCCGAGCTTACGAAGTCAGGAAAACCAAAGAAAGCAGAACACTTGAGGAACGAGCTCCGCCCGAATACGGGGGGTCAGTGAGTGTTCACCAGCGGAAAAAAGCCATTTTCCAGCTCCGCCCGCCCCCACCCCTCAAATACAAATTTTACACGTTGCATAGGAAATGCACAAGGTCCGGAACGAATGCATGAATGCCCCGAGGAATTAAGAAAGTCTGCGCTTTTCATTCTAAATGCTAATGGAGCTTCGCTTCTATTAGCCGCGAGTTTCGAGGGCCAGGGGTCAAGCAAACAAAAGGGCACAGCGATGAGAAGGCTGGCGCTGGAAGCAAGGGGACGAAGCGGACGGCGTTAGCGGCTGATGGGACGAGCGGAGGCAGGTCCCCTGCACCCAGAGGGCGGTGTCTTCGAGGGTGGGCGGCTTGGAGGCTCCTGGCCACCCAGCGGCCTAGCGGGGGCACATTCCTGAGGGCGCCGAGCGCAGCTCCGGGACCAGCGTCTCAGCCCACAGCCTCAGCGAAACTTTGTAGCTGAAAGCGCAGCTCAGCAGGCCTCAGGGAAGGAACTGGGTGCCCAAACTCCGGCCTATAGCGCCCCCTTTGCCCGGGGTGGGCGCAGCTCGAAGAGTGGGAACAGGGACCGAAAAACCCCAAATCAAACCAAACCAAAAACCTCCGAGGTGCGCGGGGCCACGAGGGTCATCTCCTGGCGCCCCTGAGCCCGGGGCTTGCCTGCAGGAAGAGAGAAAGGGACTCGGGGCTCCCAGGTCCAGGAAACCCTCGACGACCAGGAAATGGGGGATTCCCTTGCCACCCCCAGCCCCAGCTGGAGCTGCTCGGACGGAAAGCTTGCGCTCGATGTAGCGCGGGTAGAAGCGGATCTTCCCACGGCTGTAGCACGTGCTTCCCGTCTCCCCGCATCTTCAATGGGGGTCTCCAGCAATCCCCCACCCGCCCCTTCAGTGGGTGCCCGCATTCCCGTCCCGCATTCCCTGAGGGCCTTTCAAGCGGAGTCGTTCTCTGAGAGGAGGCCTCAGAACTCGGGTGGGCGGGGACCGCCTCTCCCCAACGAAGGAGTTCCCCTCGAGCGCCCAGCGTTCGCGGGAGGGACCCACACAGCCTTTCCTCCAGCCCAGCCCAGCGCCCCGCCGCTCTCTCCACCCCACAAGCGGCCGGTTACCTAGGCAAAGCCTCAGTGCCTGGAAACACGTTCCGCCGCTCCTGCTTGCGGCCGCCGGGGCCGGGAGCACAGAGCCTTGGGGTTGTAAATTAGGAAGAAATAACTACCTCTGTCAAAGCCCCTTTCTTTCTCGTGGGCAGACGAAAGGAACACCCCCGTGTTCCCCTCCCGGTGGTGAAGTGTGTGGAGGAAACCGTGAAACGCACCATTGTGACCGGGGCTCCTCTGCGGAGTTTCCAACCCTGGGGAGCGGGGGCGGAGGTTGGGCGGGGGCAAGAGGAGCGAGGGAGAGACTGACAGAAAGGGAAAGACTGAGATTCTCAGAAAGACCGAGGGAGACTAGACAAACCGCGGGGAAGAATTTCTGTGAGCGCACGGTCCCAGGCAAAGGGGTGGATGGGTGCCGGGGGGTGGGGGGCGGAGCGGACGTGGAGGTTGCTGTGGCCTAAGGAGGCTTTGATACTAACTCTGCGAGCATCTTGTTCAGCGAAAATAACTCGAATAAAGTAACTTCATTCATTGTGCCCATCAGCCACGTTAGGCAGCTTTTTCTTTCCCTAACTTGATTCTATAAAATATTTCCCGGTCGTGGGAAAAGGAGATCCGGCACTGGACTCGCGATGGAATGACGGCTCCCTGTTCTTCTCTCCCAGCACCACAAGGCCCTGGGATCACAGCCCGACATTTCTGATTACTAACTCCTCGCAGCTCTTCCCTCTGGAGAATCCGGACGCATAAATAAATAAAAGGCAATCTCCAAGAACGTTTTTGGAAATCAAGGGACAAATGCGTTCTTCCTCACCACTGCCCCGAGGCTTCCAACAGGTTGGAGAGGTGCCTTTGGAAGTCAGTCTCCGCAGGCTGCGCTCGCATGACCGCTCTCGTCTCACCACCGAGAACTTTCATTTCTACTAAGAGTAAAACACTCGGAGCAACTTCTCCAAAAGCGCGAGTTCTGTCCGTGAAAAAGCATGCCTTTCCCACACCGAGCCAACGTCCAGAGGAGAGGGACACCGTCCCCACACGTGTCAGTGTGCGGGAGTCGCCAATTACACCCGATTTACCTCCTAAGGGAAAAGTGTAAACCGGCATGTCAGCGACGACAGGCAGACGTGCCTAGTGGAACCCCAGGCTCATTTCAATACAATAAGCCACATTCCTACAATTACGCCCTCTTTCCTGAGGTCCTCCGAGTGCGTCTGCAAACTCTGGCCGTCGCTGCCTAGGCCCTTCCCTCCTAAGCTTCCTTCCAGAGAACCAGCTCGGTGCCACCATTAGCAACATTTACTTGGACCCACCAGAGCTCCTATTTTCAATCCTACTTAAAAGGCAGGAAAATTACTGCCGTTCATCACCGGAGCTGCAACTCCCTGCCGCTGCCGCTGCCGCCGCCGCCGCCGCCGCCGAGAGCATCATTACCATGACAACTAGAGCCGAAATACCCTGAATTACATCGCTGGAGCCGCTATAGCACAAATCCCGGTCCTCCTCTTTGTTAGAGGCTTTTCGCCTCTTCGAGTGGGGGGAGGAATCCCACGAGCTCCAGAGATCCCCGCGGGCCCACTACAGGGGAAAAGTTTCAGATCAGAACCTACGGGCCGCTGGGCTAGCAAAGCCGGAGCCGGGCGGCAAGGTCAGGGGAGGGAACCCCACACTCAAAGTTGTCAATTTCAGGAGCGACGCTTCCCAGCAAGCCAACTTTTTTAGCAAGTCCCCTTATTAACTGGGCGAATCTCATACGTACTTGAGTGCTGTGGCGGTTCCGTCTTTAGAGCGAGTTTCTAGAGAGCTGTCCCGAAATCTGCACTGGGGGGGAGTCACAGCTGCTGTCCCGGAAGGGCTGCGGTGTACAAGCCCAGCGGCTCCCGGAGGCGGTGAGCGGCTGGTGGGGGATGCTGCGATCCCGACTCATGGGAGAGCACAGCCGAGAGGTTCCGCGGGCGTCCTGGCTTGGGCTGTGACCAGGGGGGAGGATGCCGCCGCTGTTCCCACCTCCACGGCCACTGCCGGCACCGTCAGCGTTGCAAAGTGAGCCCGGGAGGGGCGTCCAGCTGCGGCGCCGCGCTGCACCGGCAAGGGCTCAGGGCAAGAGGGGTGTGAGCGCGCGGGAGAGCGAAGTGTGTGTGCGGAGCCTGTGTGCGCGCTTGTGTCTGTGTGTGCGAGTGAGGGAGCGGGTGTGAGCGCGTCTGTGTATGGGGAGCGGAGGAGGAGCAGGAGCTGGAGGGGTGGGGGGCGGGAGGCAGGAGACTCCGCTCTCCCGGCTGCGCGTTCGCTCGCTCTCTCGGCACGTCATTTATGCCACAGGAGCCCTAGCGGCCTCTCCATAGAGTGCCTGGAATGCGAGACGTCAATGTGACGCCATGGGACGCTACGTCACCCTCCTCCTCCCTCCCCTGGCCCAGCCGGTTCCGCGTGTGCGAGGGAGGGTGTGTGTGTTCGTGTGCGCGCGCGCGCGCGCGCGTTCCTCGGCCAGTCGCACGGCCGCACAATGGAAACTCCGCCGCACGGCCGGCCCCGGCCTGGGGGCTTCTCTTTTTGCAGCGGAACCGCTCGCCAGGGCGTGCGTCTGCGGGAGGGTGCAGCGGCCTGCCCACGGGTCAGGCGGGACCGCCCAGCTGTCAGGCTCGGGTGGAGTAGAGTTGGAGGAGTGCTGCTGGCGCGCCTCCGAGGCTGCCCCGAGGCACGGAGCCAGGGCGAGGGGGGTAAGGGAGAGGACAGCTCTTCCGAAAGGGAAGGCTCCGCCAGCCAGCTTCTGACCAGCTCCAGTGACCTGGCAGCCGGTGCAGAAGGCGTCTGGCACCAGCCCGAAGACGCCCTGAGGTGCAGCTGCACTTTCCTCTTGCATAGGTTCTAAAGCTGTTTACGTTGCTCCGGTCCTCTGCGCCCAGGCTAATCCCCCCTCCCCGCATCATTTACTGGGTGCGTGTTTCACACAGGGATGCAGATGGTTCCGGGGATAAGGTTTGATTTCTTTACACGTACGGCGTGGGTTTCTTAACTGGACACGTTATAACCCAGCGAAGTGCACATCCATCATGCACACGCGCGCTGCAGCAGAAACTACTCTGTGTGTAAAACAAACACACACGTGTTGAACAGCTGAGCGGGTCTGACTATTGCAAATCATTCCTCCTCCCCGGCACCGGGTCAGAAATGGAACTCTCAACTAGCACTTTCACTTTTTGATGGTTGTAGATGCCCTCCGCCCACATCTCCCAAATTAAACATTTCGAAATCAATCAACAGGACTTATTAGTCAGTCCCTCGCTAGGGGATTTGCTTTGGTCTCCTCGGACACATTTGTCATGAAATGGTGTGCCGAAAGCCTGGGTGACTGTATGAAGGAGAGCAATTTCTTCCTGGAAATGATAAATTTAAGTGTAAATTTCTTGATGAAAACAAAATTTATCAGAGTTAAAGACCCCTAGTCCCAAAGGTTGCTGCTGAGTGAACGCAGTCTCTTTCAGAAATGAATTTTTGGACAGGAGAAAATATTTGAGTGAAACAATGCAGATAGAGTGGTCCCCATGTGGTCCGCTTGAATCACAAATACCGTTTTATATGTTTGACCTGTCCCAATTTGTGTGTGTGTGGCGGGGGCGGGGGGCGCTGCGCCGAGGGGAGATACAAGATTCCTTTGTAGACAGCACACATTTCAGAATCGAAGAAGGTTCGAGCTAGGACCAGAAACTTGAAAACAAACTACATATAGGTAAATATGGCATGTATATCTTTCTTCGCCTCCACTTCCAATTCAGACACGGTGGTGCGGAGAGGATCGTGGGAGAATGCCCCGAAAGTTGACCCAGCCGAGAGCAACCGAGTCTCTGCACTGCGGCGGGTTCCAATCCAGCCTCGGAAGGAAGGAGGGCGCTGCTACATTGTATCCATTCAAAGGCTTGAAGGGGGGGAGCAGGACCTGGAGCCGCGCGGCGCTGACGCACGCGAGGCGCGTGATTGACGCAGGCGATGTTACTAAATTCGGCGGTTGGCCGGGACCCGCCGCCGGCGCGCGCCGCAGATAGCGGAGTAGGTTCCCCTCGGTCACCCCCGCCCCTTCTCCATTCAACGCCGCGCGGGGCGGGGCAGGGCGCGCGGGGCGGGGCGGGGCGGGGCGGGGAGCGCGCGGCCGCGCCAGGATCCGGCCGAACCAAATATAGTCGGGCCTGGCTATTTTTAGCCGGGTCTCGGGCGCGAGCCCGCCGCGTGAGGGGGCGCCCTGACCCCGCCGGGAGTGCGGAGGGGGCGGGGGCGGAGTCGCCATCTTGGACTCGGTTCGACCAGGTCTGGTGACCGGCGACGAGGGGCCGGGCTCGGCGCCGGGGGTCGGGGTGAGTGGGTGCGAGCCGTGGGAGAGAGGGGGGGCGCTGGCGGCTCTCTTCGTCCGGCGCGGGCTGTGAGAAGTGAGCAGGGCGAGGCGCGGGCGACAGCGGGGCGCGAGGCCCGTGCATGTGTGTGCGCACGGAGGTGGGGAGACGGTGATCCCCGCCCGCCCTGCGGAAGGCCCGGCGGTTCTACCACCCGGCAGCTCGGCCAGCCCCGAGTCGCGTGGGGGCGGAGCTGCCCGCGGCCACCACTTCCTGAGTGCCGGGGATACCCTTCCCGGACGTCACGGAGGAGCCGAGGCGGCGGTGGCGGCCCGGGGCTCATCCTGCACTTGCATCACGGGTGCAGCAGCAGCTGCTCTGCTCCTTTGTGGCTTTTTGCCCCGTTGAGTAACTGCTTTGTTAACTGAAAATACCATGACGGGCCAGTGTGATCACCAGCTCCAGATCTCAAAGAAAGTGAAGCTGTCAGGCAAGAAGAGGGAGACTCCCCCAGCCGGCTGCGATGGTATCTGGTGGGTGGATGTGTAGAGAAGCACTTGACAGTTTCCACGTATTACTTCTTGCCTAACTCTTCACCCCCAAGAAGATTTAAAAATACTTTTATTTCCATGCTGTAAAAATTTCATTTGTGTTCTGCACCTCCCTCACCCCCCTAATCCTCCTTCAATTAAAACTCTCATGTAGAACTGGAATCACTGTAAGCAGGAACCCTAAAATTAGGTACAGTTTTTAGGAAACATGACATCTTTCAATGAATTTATTCAATAAACTACATTTTCTAAATGTTAATATGTATGAAAGGTCCTTGCCCACTCAGGGTTGTTATAAAGCTGCTAAATTGTTCATATGAGTTGGGCTCCAGTGACCGTTTCAAAGCAGTATCCTTGTTTACCTAAATTTAAAACAAAACAAAACAAAAAAACTCTTCTCCCTGGCTGAGAACCTCCAAGCAAAGTTTCCTCTCTTTGAGTGGGTGTGTCTTCTGGACCTCTATCTTGGTTACTTCTGTGCATCCTCCTCCCTTCTCCCCTCCACCTTCCTTTACATCCTTTTCTGTTTTTTACAGCCTCACTCCTTTACATCCGTTCCTTCCTTTACATCCTTACTCCTTTACATCCTTTTCTTCCTATCAAGTGGCCAATATCTGTTCCTGGACTGCTCTGTTAGACTGAGGGCTGTTGTCTGACCTCCCTGAGCCAATCAACTGTTCGTGGCTCAGTGCTTCTCGGGGTAGGAAGGGGGACTGACTGCTGGAGAGGTCACTGAGTGGCAGCCTTTTGAAACTCAAATGGAAATTCATGGAAGCAGAGACACAGCTGTCTCGTAGACGGAGACACCATCCTCTGCTTAATCCTATGTCCCTAAACGTATGCTGTTCTTTAGGTGACCCAAACAGAATTAGTTTTTCTCGAGTCTTTTTTTTTTTTTTGAATTAGTATCTACTGCTCTATTCCTTTTCAAAAGTCGGATTTATTAGAAACCAGGCATAATATTCTGTAAGGCACATGTAATGTGACTATTTCAGTAATCTCAATTTCCTTTTTAAAAAATTTTATTAACTTTTTTATCTCTTCTTTTAGGAAATCAAATAAGACTACCTTAATCTGTGAAACGTTGAAAACTTTCTTGGCTCAGTCCTTTTTCTATAACAGAAGAGAGACATTTATATGTCACTAGTTTACATACACGAAGTTAAGTTTCTGCTTTCATGATGCTTATAGCAGCCAGCCTGTTAAAGAAGTATCTAAATTAACCATTACGGATTCACTGGATAGTTACCTTTCATTTTGTTTTGGATTTGTAGGCCTAATCTGCCTGCAAGAAAGAACTATTTCTCTTAGAAAATAAAATATGAAATTTGGGGGAAACTTATGTGTGATATAAAGCAATTGTTTTAAATTGCTTTAAATGCTCTTCTGATGAAGTAAAGACGTATAATCTTATTGCTTTTACTAATATATAGAGATGATGATTTCTTATTAATGCAAATATTGGGTGAGGAATGGTGAAATAAAAATTCTAAGCCAGAAGTTGTTACCTAGGGTGAAAACAGGAAAGAAAAGTAAAAAATTGTAAGTTCAAGTTTTGTGGAATCAATGTAGAAGTTCTATACTATATTTAAGGTACATATATAAAATTTAGTAACTTCAGCTGACATTGATTTATACACGAGATGTACCTGGCTCAGTAACCTGCAATCATTATAGTAAGTTTCTATCTGACCTACATGCTTGCCATTCGTTATCAATTCCATCATTGCCAGATTAGTCTTCCTAAAATTTAGATTTTGTTATATAACTTCTGGCCTCAAAAGTCTTCAGCAGCTGGATATTTTCTCCAAAATCAAACCTAGAGCCTCTTTTATTTCCACAGAATTTTCCTGTCCTAGTCAAACTGGTGTTCTCACTGTTCTTCAAACTTCCTTTCAACCTCCCACATTTGTTGATAGTTTTCCTTTTTATGGCATCCCCTCCTTCCTCTTCTTCTCCACTAATTGAAATTTACTCTTCCTCTAAAACTAGCCCAAGAAGTGAACTCAGATTTACTTTACAAAGTCTTTCACAGAGTCTTTCACAAAGTTCTTATTTTTCTGCCTTCTTTTTGTGCTCTTGTGTCCATGGTCTATTCCCTTGTCAAAGTGTAAGCTTCAAAAGCATACCCCACACATCTTTGAAATCCCTGTGGCACCTAAGAATGTTCGATATGGACAGTAAATGTCCATAAAATATTGCCTCCTTTAATTTGGATATGAATAGAGAGAATAGCCATATTATAAGTAACAAATTATATGGATTAGTGTTTTTTTTTTTTTTTTTGAGATGGAGTCTTGCTCTGTCACCCAGGTGGGACGATCTTTGCTCCCTGCAACCTCCACCTCCCGGGTTCAAGTGATTCTCCTGCCTCAGCCTCTGGAGTAGCTGGGATTACAGGTGCCTGCCACCGCACCTGGCTAATTTTTGCATTTTTAGTAGAGATGGGGTTTTCACCATGTTGGCCAGGCTGGTCTCCAACTCCTGACCTCAAGTGATCTGCCCGCCTCTGCCTCCCAAAGTGCTGGGATTACAGGCATGTGCCACCATGCCTGGCTGGAATAGGGTATTTTTGGCACGAGTGGGCATGTATAAGTTTATTTATTGGTTGCTTTCTTTACTTCAACTTGATACTCCAGATAGAACATACTTTATCAAGGTGCCTGCCACAAGCCCAGACAGCTGCGTGGTGATAACAAGAAAATGGCAGTTTGTCTTTATCTATTGTATCTGTGTAGGAAGATTTGCTATGATTTTTTTTTTCCTGATAGACTTTTGGTTTGACTCTAATTCTAACCTCTTTCCCCTCTATTTGTACTTTCTCTTATGCTGCTTTCTCTCACTTATGAACTAGATGCTGTAGGCTAGGAAATGTTAATATCAACTTCTTTTAGAAAAAAGTTTTTAAGGTTTGGAAAATTGCGAACCGTGACATTTTTGTATAACCAATTAAATATGAAAATTCTTGAATCTCATCTTTTCCAAAATATATTGAAATAGGTTTGCATGCTACTATATGCAGAAGTAAAATGAGCAAAACAATTTTGGATTACGATTTTTTAGAATTTTTAGATAGAAGCTCAATATGATTGAATATTAATATCAATGACTGAATATTAAAGTTTACTTTAACAAGGAGAAAGTAACATAGTAGATCAGGAAAGACTTTCTAATTGTAGAAAATTTTGGAAAAAGTAGAAACCTGAGATGGAAAGATTACTTAATAGTATAAGTGCCAATATTACTTTAAAATCTCATTAAATAATGTCTTTTCATCCATTAGAAATAATAAGAGTCAGGACAGGCTTGCAGTCTGGTTAAAAAGATAGTTTATTTCTTAGTCATGTTTTCCTCAATCATTGGTAAACTCTGGAAGACCTCAATAATCTGGGGGAGAAAAGTTATTATTCATGTGTGATAAACCAATTCAGGATATTATTTATGCCTACGAAACAAGATCTGCCTTTTAACTAGAGTTGATGGATGAAGTAAATACCTCTTTCCAAATATAACTGCATAACCCTTTCCCATCATTTCCACTCTGAAAAAAACCAAAAAGATTGCCTCACATACAAGTTCAGTTCCTTCAGCATATTCTCCAACAGTGAGATGCTATATATCACAAAAAGTACTAGACTGCTTCTCAGAGGCCTGGGTCTGGCTTTGCTGCCATGAAGGTGCCCAGCCTTGGGTAAGTTCATCTTTTCGGGGGGCCTAAATATTATTTGTAAAATGATAGTGTTGGGCTCACTTTATGATCTTTAAGGAAATTTCAAGTTCTAAAGTTGAATGCTTTTTTAGACACATTAAATATTGTGAATCAGCTGTGCCCTGGTCTCCTAAAGTGATTGCTATGGCCAGGAGACTTACAAACTGTCTTGTATACAATACATGTGCTTTTAGTAGTAATGTTATATTAAACTGCTTTGGCCTGCATGGTAATGAACTATAGCCACTGAGTGGGATCTTGGTGGCCTGAGAGAGTTAATGCTGCCAGCATCACAGCCTTCTGTCCATGAAGTAGAAATGAGCAGAAACCTGGATAGTCCAAAAGTCATTTTATATTTAGCTTTGGAATTTGTTTTTGTGCCTTCATTTGAATATGGATGAGTCACAAATTGACTTCATACAAATTAGCAAACTTTCATTGGAATGGATTCTGTTGTTTGCTCCTCTTCAGTTCCTTTCTGATCCTCACTGCATGCAAAGCACAAACCATTTCTTAAGTGTAGCAGTGGAGGCAGAACTGTCCTTTTTCTGCTTCTTTCTAGAAAAGGCTTGATGATGGTGGGGTTGCAAGTCTACATCTCCCTTCGGAGTGTAAATAAATAGTGAAATAGTGAGAAGGCAGATCACAAGGAAAGTACCAAGTAGGTGTTAAGTTGAAAAAAAAAAATGGCAAAACAACCAGGATGAATACAGTAGGCTCTATTTGCAAACTTGTTAGGTTTGTGGATGGATAGACCTTTATAGATAAATAAGAGCTCACTTTGTAGGCATTGGGAAGTATCTGAATTTTAACAGATTACAGGTTGAGGTATCATTTTAGTTAGGTTTAGATAGTGAAAACATGGTTTATCTATTTTTTAAATGCCTATTCTACATATTTAGGTATCTGGTTTCCTCTTTAGATCATGCAATTAGTAACTGATTCTGATTTTTTTACCATAATACATTTTCCAGTATTTATTCTGCATGTTTATAGTTCACTACTGGAAAAATTCTTCCCTGACATCTGTTCTGAATTAGTTCCCTTTTCCAGTTATGTTTTCCTGTTTTATCAATTGTGATGAGGAGAATAGAAAGCCATATTTTAAAGATTTCTGCTACTTAAGTTTAGTAAAATTGAAATAAACTATGTAACTTTTTCTAAATTCTGGAAATTTGCATGTTAAATTACCGGTTTCATTTTTTAAAACAATAGCATAAACCGGACAAAATTTGAGATCCAGTTACTGTAGTCTTTCATAGTTGTCAAATTGACTTTTCCATAGTTAAAAAATTTTTTTGAGAACAGCTTCTGTTGTCTCAATGTCTTTAAAAATGTCTTTTTGTTTCAGTTATCTTGGATCTATGTATTTGGGATGAATCTTCTTTGGGATGAACTTATTGAGTACTTAGCAGTTCTTGGCATGCTAAGAGTAGGTATTAAGAGGAAGAGTGGTGCTCCGTAAACATTTGATGATTGAATGAAAGCAGTTTGCAGGAAGCTTTATCCAAAATATTCTATTTTCTTTATCTTAACCAGCCTCACGGCCTTAGAACTTTTCTGGGATAGTTTCACTCGTTAGGCATAAGAGAGGAGCGTACATCACTGTGCTGCTGCACCTGCACTACCCTCTTCCACCGTTGCACCGAGTCTACAGACACTTCTGGTTGCCCAGATTGAGGGAGGTACCCCTGAGTTATAGCACTCTGGGACATCTGCATTTGAACTGAGAACCGATTCAGGTGTCCTGAGGAATTGTTATGCCTTACTTTTTAACCCCAGGTACCCCCAGGAATTAATCTCTGGCTTATCTCTCTATTTTGATATGCCACTTTTGCTGCGATAGTTTCACAAGATTGTGTTCTTTTCTCTTTTCTTCACTGTCTCTGCCTGGGCGGCATATATAACCTATTCATCAGTGAGTTCCTCAACTCTAATTGATTTCCAACTGTAATCCTCACTTTGCTTTCCAGTTCTAGATGTTACTATTCAAGGCCTCCGAGTGCATAGTTACTTGTCTAATATCTATCACCCATAGACTGAGAGGCTTACATGTAGGGTGTTAACTAGGAACTCAACTTATATCTACTTAACATATTTAAACATGTTAAGATTTAATTTTTGAAAAGATAATACATTTACATGATTCAAATGACAAAGCATTTAGAAATGAGAAGTTTACTTTCCACTCCGGTCCCCTACTAAATGACCCTCCTTCCAGAGTTGTTGTTATTGTTCTTTTTTTTTTTTTTTTTTTGAGACAGAGTCTCTCTCTGTTGCTCAGGCTGGAGTGCAGTGGTGCGATCTTAGCTTACTGCAACCTCTGCCTCCTGGGTTCAAGAGATTCTCCCGCCTCAGCCTCCCGAGTAGCTGGGAGCTGGGACTACAGGTGCAAGCCACCAGATTCGGCTAATTTTTGTGTTTTTAGTAGAGACGGGGTTTTACCATGTTGGCCAGGGTGGTCTGAAACTCCTGACTTCTAGCAGTCTGCCTGCCTCAGTCTCCCAAAGTGCCGAGATCCTTCCAGAGTTTTTTAATGCATTTCCAAGACACTACAAATATAAATTCTGTTTCCCTTTCCTTTTTTATACACATGGAAGCTTACACGTATTGTTCTGCCTTTTTCACTTAATAGTGTATCTTGGAGTTCTGTCCATAACAGTGGAAAAATATCTGAGATATATCTGAGATATATTTCATTTATAATGTATCTTGGAGATCTCTTCATGTCATTGTGTGAATATATCATTATTTAGCCAGCCCCATATTGATGGACATTTGGGAAGTTTTCAATCTTTTTGCTGTTTCAAGTAATGCTACAATAAATACTTTTGTTATATAGATTATACTTGTGCAAATATATTTGTAGGATAAATTCCTAGCAATTGAGGGATACAAATTACAAGTAATGCTACAATAAATACTTTTGTTATATAGATTATTTTATACTTGTGCAAATACATTTGTAGGGTAAATTCCTAGAAATTGAATTACTGGGCCAAAGGGTATATATATCATAGTAGTTTGATAGGTACTACCAAATTACTCTCCATAGAGGTTGTACAGTTTACACTCCACTAAAAATATAGGCAAGTGCCTGAATACTCATATTCTTGCCAACAATGTGTTATTTAACCTTAGGTTTTTTTCCAGTCTGGTCGGTGAAAATGTTATCTTAGTGTAACTTTAATTTCTTTCTCTCATGAGTAAGTTAGAACATCTTTTTCATATGCTTAAGAGCCATTTATATTTCCTTTTGGTGAAGTGTGTCTTATATCCTTTGCCTATTTTGGGAGGTGGGGGTGGTTTAAAAATCACTTTGTAGTTGCTGTTTATAATATGGAGATTTGCCCTTTGTTATATGAGTTGCAGCGTATTTCCCCGTAGTTTGTCATTTGTCTTTCAACTTTGCTTATGATGTTTTTGCTATGTAGATTTTTTAAAAAATGTACTTGAATTTGTCAGTCTTTTATGACTTCTAGATTTAGTCATAGTTAGAAAAATCTATACTACTCCAAGGTTATGAAAGAATTCCCTCACGTTGGCTTTTACTACTTTCATGGTTTCTGTTTTGCATTTAAATTTTTGATCCATTTTTCCTGGTGTATGGTATGAGAGGTAGGTCCAACTTTATTTTTTTCCAAATGGCTACGCAGTTGTCTCAACACCATTTGTGAATAGTCTACCTCTACGCTGTTTTGCTTCTTACTCAAAACAAGACTGATTCATCTCCTTTTTTTTTTCACACCTACTCTGCTGTGACTGAATATGAATACAATTCTCTGCTTTCCTTCCTGTAGAACACCTTCTTCAGTGGCAGAGATGTCTTTCTCCCTGCTGCCTCCCTGCTTTCCTCAGCAATACCGCACGCAGCCTGGCAGTCAGTTAATGTTGGAATGAATACGGGGTACTCAGAAGCTCTCCAGGATTTTTCATTGAGCAATAACTGGTTAAAAAGAAATCCTAACTGTAATCAGGTTCCTTAGAAGACTGTTCAAACTGGAGATGTCTTCGGGCTCTCTCTAGTCATGGTGATCAGTTATTCCAGAAGCTAAAGGTGTACTACCTGGGTCCTTTACTCTAGAGGCAGTCCGATTTGGGTTGCTTCCCTCCATGCAAATTACTCTCATCTGCTACCTCTGCTTTGTCTGACAGCATGGGATATTACCTTCTGTAATTTGAGATGGGAACCATAAAATGCCAACAAGGTGGTGTTGATTCCCCATGATGCAATGGCCAGCTCAAGAACCTCATTTACTTGGAAAGTGAGGCTGTGGATAAATGATTTTGGAAACATTCCTTCTCAGTTTGAACCCCAAGCAGATGTTGTTTCATCTGTGGAACCTAGGGAAAACCCTAGCTTTGTTCTTCTAGGTGAGAGTGTCCAAGCAGGCAGATGAAACTGAATTTATTTGATACCTTTCCTTACTAGCATTCTCTAAGCTATGTGGGCTAGTTTTATAGCTACCTGATAAAAGACTTCCTTCCACTTTGAACCATTGCCCTAGGCTATATTTCCTTTCTAAACTTGTCCAGGCCATCTTGCCTATTCTTTATTATTGAGGCTTACCTTTTGATCCTGTTTCTTATCTCTGCCTTCAGACTTGCCGCCTGATGCTGGTAGTACCCTCTTTGTCCAGTACCAATTTGACTTAAAAGTTATTTTGGCCAAAAGCAATGTGGTCAAGTACAATTTAGCTGAAAGCAAGTTGGTTAACTGATTTGTTGTAATCAGCTATTAATTGAAACAATGATTTCGTCAAAACAATGAGTTGGTCAAAATGAATATCCTGTTAATAGTTTTTGAGTAGTGGTAATTTCAGTGTAAAATGATTAGATACTTTTGGTCCATTTTCTAGGGACTTTTCCAGTATTTTTCTTTTACAGTTCAAGTTAACTTTCAGCTATGGCAGCATTTGATTGCTTGTGATTTCAAAAAGTTAAAGCAACCTAGCTACCCAGTAATAGGAGAATAGTTGGACAAGAGTAATCTTAACTAAAAGGCAATAAGAGGTTAATTGGAACAAACAAAACACCCAGTGATAAGATAAAAACATGTTTCCTGTATTATTTTTCTTTTCCCCTCATAAAAAAGGCTGTGCATATGCAGTACAGGACATTCAGAAAAATGTAGATAAAGACTAGAAGGAAAAAAGAAAAAAGCTATAAATTAATTCACCCAGGAATAACCACTGTTGTCCTTCCCTATCCTTCTAAGTGCATTTTATACACATAAACTCTACCTATAGTTTGTAATTTGCCATAATTTATTTAAGCATTCTCCAGTTATTGGTTAGTCACTTTTGTTGAGAATCAGATTTTGGTTCCTTTGTGCAACTGTGGGCCAGGCTACCTTTAGCTGGGAATAGATTGCCTTTCTCTTTTCCCTTCTGTCCCTCAATCCTGCCTAGGCCTGCATCCAGCCTGGGCTCTCAAGGCCCCCCTGCCTGCTTTAAGTGAGACACTTTGTAAATGAAACCATTCTGCCAAGCCTTTCTATGGTTACTAAAGAGGCCTGGTTCCAGAATTCCTGTGGAACTCTCTGGTTATATATAAAAATTTTTTTGGAGTTCATGCTTGATATATGTTATATGTATATGTATGCAAATCAGATAGAGTGAAGAGATGGGAGGGATTATATTGGGTCTCCATTAAAATAAGAATAAAGAGGCATTGCAGCAGAGAACTCCATTATCAGTGGAGGGAAATTAGGAGATTTTCTCTAAAACAGGGTTGGCAAATATGTGCTATGTGTTGTGCCTGAACCTGAGTCATGATAGACTCACTAATCAGTCATGGCACTATTTCTCACTAGATCCAGACTCAGCTTTAAGTCTTTCTCAAGGTTGGGTTCTAGGTGGCTGTATCCACTGTAGTTGCTGTGGGAGACAAATGAGTTACTACTCTTGCTTCTAAGATGTTACATTAAAGTTATTGTTTTTTGTTTTTTTTTTTTTACAGTGGATTGACCAAGAAAGTTTTTGTTTGTTTGTTTTTCTTTGAGACAAAGTCTTGATCTGTTGTTCAGGCTGGAGAGCAGTGGCAAGACCATGGCTCATTGCATCCTTGACCTCCCGGCTCAAGCGATCCTACTGGCTTCAGGTAGCTGGGACTACAGGTATATGCCACCACACCGGGCTAATTTTTTTTAATTGTAGAGACAGGGGTTTCCCTATGTTGTCCAGGCTGGTCTCAAACTCCTGGGCTCAAGGGATCCTCCTACCTTGGCCTCCCAAAGTGCTGGGGTTATAGGTGTGAGCCACCATGCCTGGCCTGACTGGGAAAGTTTTAATAAAATGTTTTCTATCTGATAAATAAGTTCATGTTGAAAAATATGGGATGTGAGCAAAGAGTAATTATCTGGATTTCAGGCAAAGCACATGCCTTGTAGTTAAGATCATTGAAGCAGCATAATCACATTATAGATTTGTTATGGAGTGAAAACAATGTCATAATAATACTCATCAGTATAAATTGCCCATGGTATGGTCATGGTGATTGACTCCCCAGTATTCATCCCACCGCAGGTGATTTGTCTAAGCAGTCATGGTTAATCCCATTTCCCTTGCCGGTGAAGAGTTAGGAATGGCCTGTAACCTATTCTGGCCAATGAGAGATGAAGGAAAAGTCTACAGACGGCTTGAGTGCTTCTGGGAAAGGATTTATTGATTCTAAACAGAGAGAAAAGAAAGAGATGATGCCTCATCTCCCTGTGATTTTATGTTTGAGTATAGTGGCTAGAACTGCTCTATCCATCTTGGGACCATGAGGGAAACTAGCTTTGGGGGGTGCAGCTGATCTAGATGATGACAGAACAGATGGAAGAAACCTGAGCCCTTGATGACCTTCCTGAATTGCTGATTGTATTGTACTTGGTCTGCCTTACCTCTGAACTTCCAGTTCTGTGAGATAATACAGTTCCTCATTGTGTAAGTAGGCATGATCTGCGAATTTGTCATTTGCAGCCAGAAACATCCTGATGTGATACCTACTTTGTCCCAAGCAGATTCACGTCAGGTGGATTTGATATTATTTGGATAGGTTTCTTTTTGCTGGGGCTCTTCCCTCCCCATGTCTTCTGCCTTCATAAAGTGGATGCAGATTCTAACTGGCCAGGTCTTGTCTCTATCTTTTCTAAGGGGCTCTGCCTTAGACCAGGGATCTTCATAGGAAGCAGCAAGGAATCAAACAGCACTCATTGTCTCTTCCAGAGTCTTTTGGGTTGTTTGAATATCTGGTGGTGTGACTGCTACCATTTGTTGTTCATTCCTTCTTTTTCTGATTCTGATTCTGATTTCTTGCTTAGATCTTGGTCCTCACTTTTGTATATTTTGTGTCTCATGCCTGACCTCAAGATTGTTTGATAGATTTATTTTCTTCTCTTCTGCAACTCTTTCCCCTTATCTCCTTCATCCACTCCTTCCTCATCTTGTGACTTGATTTTGTGGCCAGTGGAGACTATTCTAAGCAGATGGGTATATGTTATTTGCCAGGAGCAATAGTGAGTTACATGAGTAATCATACATCTATTTGCTCTAGACTGGTAGAGTAAAAAGTAAGAGTAGTTCACCCCTTGGTCTTCTCATCTAGTACCTTTCACTCATGGCATAGAATAATAGAACTGGAAATGGTCTAGGAGTCAGAGCATTTGAGTCTTCATTATGGCCTAGCCATTTGCTACCTGAAATTTTGGGCAAGTCTCTTAAGTATATTTTTTCCTTAAAGTTTGTTGCTATTGTCTGTCTAATTTTTAAAATAGTATTATAGTGATTCAAATGAAATAATGAACCTGGCAAATGAGAAGGTTTTTTTAAAAAAACACTCAAACTTGGTTGGATTTTCTGTTTATTTTCAGTGAACTAATGTCAAAGTCTCTAAATTGTGTAGTTTGTTAGTCTCTTTGTAGAAAGGCAACGGAGTATGATGTGGGGCATAATAGTACAAGTAATTAGGGATTGAAATTTATATTTTAGTGTTAACTAGGCCTGAAAAAAAGAAAAAAGGCCACACGATATTAAAAATAAAGGTCAGGATGTTGATCTTGAGGCTTATTTCTAGTTCAACCAGAAATTCTGGTCAGCCGAATTAGGGGGAAAGAGAAACCAATAAAAGAAACACCCCCCTCTAGTGGCGAGGGGCCAGATTCTCCACTTGGTTGCTAAGATGGATGAGGGGAATGGATAACTTCTTAGGATATTTTTTGTTTCTTAAGAATTCTGAGGTTGTAGAGTTAGACTACTTAAGGGAGATCTTAGTTCAGGCTTTATTTGTCAGGAAACTTAACACATTTCTCAGGATAACTAGTATCTTGTCAGTCTCATGTGAAATTGGTTAAAAAATGTAGAGGCTACTGTTGTTGGAAGAGGTTCACAGTTTACTTTTATATAGGCCACATGGAGATCATGAAAATTAGGAGACATTTGTTGCTAAACTTCTTATTGGGTCTGAGATGATATAGTAGGTACCTTTATAATCCCATTCACAGGGGGATAAATATTTAAAGTTGTGGGTTATGCCATAGAGTAGTATTAATCTATGTTTGTACAAAATAGTGGCTGTGGATTTCCTAAGTTTTGATTTGAAATTTTTACTGGTGATCCTGAGAACCAAATGTTTAACTTGCATCTTGGGAATGATTTAATTGCTACCTATGGAAAGGCAGTGAAGTTAAGTATATTAAAATAACATCACCCATACTTTAGTGACTCAGGAGGAGCACCTAATGCTTTTTTTTTTTTTTTTTTTTTTTTTTTTTGAGGCAAGGCCTCACTCTATTGCCCAGGTTGGAGTGCCATGGTGCAGTTTCGGTTCACTGCAGCCTTGACCTCCTGGGCTCAAGCAGTCCTCCCACTTCAGCCTCCTGAGTAGCTGGGACTACAGGTGTGCACCACCACACCAGGCTAATTTTATTCATTTTTTGTAGAGATGAGGTCTCCCTGTGTTGCCCAGGCTGGTCGTGAACTGGGCTCAAGGGATTCTCCTACCTTGGCCTCTCAAAGTGTTGGGATTACAGGCATTAGCCACTGCACCTGGTGCACCTAATGCATTCTTGAAGGATGTTTCATCTTAAGGATATAAATCGTTAGTGATAATGATTGTAAGTGATTGTTACATTTGCAAATCTCAAAGTCCATTGAAGTTTTTACTGTTTCAACTTCTGTTTGGGAAAGATTATTTTACATTTGTTTAAAGATTTCTGAAGAGGCAAAATTTCAGAGAATAATATTTTTATAATACTCTGTTAGATCTAAGTTAAGACTGGAATGCCATTCAAATTCAATGGTTAAAAGGCATAAGAAAATAAATTCTTATATCAGACTGCATTATCAATATGCCATTTCCTTATTTTTAATGTCAAACTTCCTTGCCCTGAAGGAAAAAAATTGAAGCTTGCAGTTGACCAGCCATTCCATAACTTGGAGTATGTTTGGTGGCCTTTCTTATGAAATAGTAATGGAAAAATTCCATAGAAAATATAAACTCGTGTGTGGATGAAGTGAGATTATAGAGTTACGAAATTAATTTTTGTGCATAACTTGTGGAGCTGATAGCCTTAATTTATTATTGTACTTCATAAATATACTTTATTTCAGGAAAGAAGAACTAGGTCTGGCAGTAGATCAGAATCTACCTGTTGGGGAAAACCAGAAATAGGAAGAAGAGTTATTAATGGTTCATTCTTGGCTGAGAAGAATTCAGTATGGAATAATTAAGGTTAGTTTAGAGAAATAATATATGATTATGTTAAGGAGTTCACAAATATTATTGAAAGTAAACTGGTTAAAACTGATTTGTTAATGTAAATGGGGCCAATAAACCAATTAGATGATCTCGCTACTAAATTGATGTGATAATAGAGGATATCTGGAGGGAAGTAAAATAGATGATAAGGTTAGTGGTAATGAGACTTCATTAAATCCTAGTACTAAAGAGATACTGTGTACATTAGTGACAGCTTAATTCTATAAATAAAAGTTGATGTTAAGAATTGATATGGGGCCTGTGGTGACTCACACTTGTAATCCCAGAGACTTGGGAGTCTGAGGTGGGAGGATTGCTTGAGGCCAAGAGTTCCAGACCAGCCTGGGCAACATAGTGAGACCCCCCTCTCATTCACTCATAAATAAATACATAAATAGCAAGCCCAATGTGGTGGTGAGTGCCTGTATTCCCAGCTACTTAGAAGGCTGAGCCAGGAGGATCGCTGGAGCCCAGGAGTTTGAGGCTGCAGTGAGATATGATTGCCCCACTGTACTCTAGCCTGGGGGACAGAGCAAGACCCCATCTCTAAAATAATAATAACTGATACAATGTTGGCACTGCTGAAATTAGGCAGGTATTATTTGTGTAAAGAGTTGTAACAAAAGGACTTGATTAAAGAGCCCAGGCTCCAAACTCATTTGAAATTCCAGGTAAAGTATAAGAATAATAATTCATATTTGTATGGGACTTTATAATACTCTGAATGTTTTCATATACAAGATCTCCTTTGATTCTTATAAGAACTCAGGGTAATAGTAGTACAGGTTTGGAGGTTCTGAGAGGCTAACAGACTTACTGAAGCAAATAGGGACTAAATGACAGGAGTGGGACTTGAACCCAGGGCTCCCTACCAAAATGCTTTTGCTCACTGTGTTGCTTTTTTGTGGTTGCTGTAACAAATTACTACAAACTAGGTCGCTTAAAGCAATAGAAATTTATTCTTTAACTCTTTTGGAGGCCAGAAGTCCAAAATCAAGGTGTTGGCTGAGCCACATTCCCTCTGGAGGCTCTTTGGGGGAGAAATCTGTTCCTTGCCTCTTCCAGTTTCTGTTGTGTATGGGGCATTCCTTGACTTGTGGCTGCCTCACTCCAGTCTCTGCCTCTGTGGTCATTATAGCCTTCTTTTCTGTTCTGTGTCTTCTCTTCTGTGTGTCTCAAATCTCTCTCTCTGCCTTTTTCTTCTAAGGACTGACTTTAAGAGAATCTACTTGTCACTGGATTTAGGGTACACCTGGATAATCCAAGATGATCTCACCTGAAAATTTTTAATTACATCTGCAAAGACCTTTTCTTCAAATAAAGTAATATTCACAGGGTCTGGGGATTGGGATATGGATGTGTCTTTTCAGGAGCCACCATTTAACCCACTAAATTCATTATATGCTGTTTAATGCTGTATCTTCCTTTTGGATTGAAGAGATATGCTTCTGTTTGAAGATGGGCAAGTGGGCTAGGGAATTTTTGGCTAGTAGGTAGAAAGGAACTTTAAAAATATTTCTGGTTGGTGCTGTTTAGTAAGTGCTTGTTAAACTTTCAGAGGTCAAATATCTTGAACACAAATTGGAGAAGGAGTAAATCAGTATAAAGTGAAAAATATGATATTTTCTCCAAAAGGCAGTCACTGACTGCTTTGGCAGAAAGAATTGAGGTGATTACTCAAGAGTTCCACCAAATTGTTGTGCTAGCTTTTACATTTGCAAACTATAAAAAACGGGACTAAATTAAGTAGCAGCTCACTTTTTTTATTAACAGTATTACAAGTTGACTTTTTCATTTCTTGTGTAATTGAGATAAAAGGGGGGGTGTGTGTATGAGAGAGAGACAAAGATTTTGTTAATGGTTTTAGTATGATTCATTTCTTATGTCATATGGGCATTCTAATTTGAGTCATATTAATTAAGGTGATCTATGTATGTAAACTCTTTGAGGGAGGGACTTGGCATGCCTTGTATACAGCTAGATCCCCAGTGTAGTTCCGGACACGTGGTAGATGTGCTCAGACAACATTAGCTGTATGAATGAAAGAACTTCTTATGATACCCAAATCTGGCAGCCACAAGTCTCATTACAATTTACTTTATGGAGGGTCCCCATTGGTAATAAGGTCTATTAATTGTAGAATTGTCCCTGCTGACTTTAAGAGACTTCACTCTGTGTCCTTTTATGCTGACAGAGCCTACAACTTTTTTCATCTCCAATAATCTTCAGCTCCAGGCCAAAAAAAAGTTGTTCTTGCCCTGCTCACATTAATTGAAATAAGTCAGTGAGATTCCTTCTGCCCACCACCTCACTTCTCACTAGCATGGGGCTCAGCTACCATTAGAGATGTTAGAGTGGGGCTGTTGTGCAGTTCTTCAGACTATTAGTGCTGTATGCTATGTTCTGAGGAGGGTTCGGGCTTTTATCTTCTCAAAAATGTGTAAAATTTTGACTCACTCATACAGCTTTAGATGTTAACAGATAGAAGTATACTGACTGTGTGTGCTAGGCTCTTCCATGTATTATATCAGATGTTGCTTCCAGCCAACCTGAGAAGCTAAGTACTAACATTGTCCCTATTTTACAGAAGCATAAAGAAGTTAAGCAACCCAACCTAAGTTCACACCAAAATTTGAACCCAGGTAGCCTTACTTCATTCAGTGCCCGTGTTCTTAACCATGTCCAATGACAGCCTCAAGCTCATTTGTTTATAAGTAACTCGTTCTTACTTTCTAAAAGCTTTTCTGTTTTCTTTATTTTGAAGCTCAGAAATTAGAAATCTGACTAGGATATATATATAGGTATATGCCCTTTTTCATTTATCCTGTCTGGTACTCAATGAGCCCTTTTGATTTCATAATTCTAGTCTCCTCCTGAGGGAAGTTTTCTTGTATTATGTTTTGATTATTACTTTTTCCATTATGGTCCTTGTTCTCTCTCTGAATGCCTTTTATTTCCAATTAGACCTCCTGGACCTGCTGGTTAGTTCTCTCATCTTTTTATTCAAGAATTCCATTTCTTTTTTTTTTGCTCCAGATAATGTGATACACATTCACCTGCTTTTCCAGATAACAGATTTGTTCTTTGGAGGGTCTCCTGTACTTTTTACTTCCTCAATTGAAATTTAAAATTTATAAATCATGTTTAAAGAATTACCCAATCTATTATTTTGTTTCAGTTATTCCCTTGCATTCAACAGCATATACAAAATAAAATATACAAGTAAACATGGTTTATTTTAGAAATGTGAGACTATTTCAACATTAGGAAATACTAATGTAAGATATCACTCTAATAGATCAAAGGAAAAAAACTTAGAATCATTTTCACAAATACTGCAAAGGTATTTGATAAATCACTACTCATTCTTGATAAAAACCAAAGAAACAAAAAACAGCTCTTGTTAATCCAGGAAATGAAGGCTATTTTCTTAACAGTACAGCCAATATCATAGTTAACTTTGAAAGTTAATTTTGAAATACTTGAGCAACATTCCCTAAGAGTATCTTCAGAACTGTAGATCTGATGTTTATATAAAAAAGGGTATCTTGGTGTATTAGTTAGGGTAAAGCGAGATGTTACAACAAATACCAACTTTTCAGTGGCTTAATAAAATATAAATTTATTTTTCCCTCATGTAATAGTCCACTGCGGATGTTTCTGGTTGGCAGACAGTTGTTTTTTTCTGTATGGTAACTCAGGGACATAGGCTCCTTCCATTATAGGGATCCACCATTCCCTAGGGCCTTGAATTCTTCTGTTTCCAGTGGACAGAATTGCAGAGATAGGGTGGAGAATGCATACTTTCTTCTCAGTTACCTTGGCCTGGATACGACACACATCAGTTCTGTTCACATTCCCACATTCCATTGGCCGGAACTAGATGCGTTACCTCACCTGTCTGCAAGATGTGTGTTCCAGGGGAGGGAAATGGAAAACATTATCTGGCTGGGGAACCACAGGTGTGGTAACAGTCTCATTTGTAGTTGGAAGGAGTAGAAATTAGGAATGCCTTAGTGGAGGACACTGTGTGATATCTGTCAAATTTTAAAACATACATGTTCTTTGACCTCAAAATTCCACTTCCAGCAATTTTTCCTACAGATATACCCACAAATATATACATGTTTACACTTGGAGGATATACCTAGTAATATTGTAATAGTAAAAGATTGGAAGCATTCTGAATGTCCATCAAAGGGGACTGAGTTGGAAACATTCTGAATGTCCATCAAAGGGGACTGAGTAAATTATTGTTTATCCATACATTGAAACACTGCAGCCACTGAGAGGCAGTGATATATGTACTGACTGGGGAGAGAAATGCAAGGTACAGAACCGTGTGTTCACAGCTACCATTTACTTAAAAAGAGAAATATATACATGTATGCTCATATATTCATAGAATATTTATGGAGGGATCACAAGAAACTGGAAGGATCACAAAAAATGTAACAGTGGCTGCTTCTGGTTAAAATTATAAGGTCATGGGTCATGGGATGAGAGAGTCAGGCTTTTACTGTGTCCTCTTTTATACCTTTTGATGTGCACCTATTTAAATATAAAAGTCAGTTGTAGAAGTATAATAAATAACATGGAAAGATGGCTGTAATATATTATTGCCTAAAAACAAGCTTACTGAAAATTATGTACAATATGTTCTCACTTTTATAAATAAATAAAGAAATGGGATATACAGAAATGCAGTGGTTTGTGTTCTTTTTTTTTGCTTATTTGTATTTTTGGATTTTCTATAGTAAACACGTATTACCTTTATAGTTAAAACAATTATAAAATGAAGAAACACAATGAAAACTTTTCTTAGGAGTCCTTTCTGGCTTTGCCATGAAACTTCCTCCATTTCTCTTATTAAGATTAATGGATGACTTATTTTTCCTTCCATGCTGCGTTTTAAACATACTCACAACACTCTAAATTGCATTATCGTGTACACATTTGGCTCATCTACTTTGTGCATTCTTAGTGGACCTGGATCATACCAAATTTCTCCAGGTATCCCTCTCTGTGCCGAAAATAGTGTCTTTCCTATAACAGGTGTGCAGTAAATACTGAATTGGCACTTTAACCAGGGAGCACAATGAGTTCCAACTTACTATTTTTTTAATCTTTTTTTTTTCCCCCCTTTTTCTGGAGAACAGGGCCTCACTATGTTGCTCAGGCAGGTCTTGAACTCCTGGACTCAAGCTATCCTCGTGCCTCTGCCTCCGTAAGTGCTGGGATTACAGGTGTGAGCTACCGTGCCTGGCACAAGGACTGAAGTAGTTGTGTACTTTTCGCCCTTGTGTTATGTAGCCTCTATTCAGTACTATACCCCAAATATCACTGACTTGTTAGCAATGCCATTGGCTTATTAGGTGCAGTTCGAAGTCCCATTGGGCCAAAGGTTTCCTTTCTAAAATGATACTGGTTGCCTCCAGGGATCTGTCTCTGCATCCTTAGTTAGCATGGGTCTGTTATATATGTAGTCAGAAATGAAAAATTTAAAAAGAATAATCAACCTGCTGATGACATGGTCTCTGCTCTTATACAGGTGAATACACTCCTATCTGCTTGGTGTCATAATTTAGAATAGTTTCCTTCTATTTTTCTTTCTCTACTATTTTCCTTTCTCTATTTCTATCCTTTTGCTGTGACCCCTTCTTGTACACACATGGTTGTATTTTTGCTATAGTTTATCAGGGGTCAGTTATGAATAAATGAGAAGAAATACAAATAAAAGAATTGGGAGCTGAACAAATTATTTGCAGCAGTAAGATTTTTAATTGGAAATTGCCTGAGAATAGATTCTCTGCACTTCCATTTTATTGGTACTATGTCCTTATCATTCATGTTTCTTCCCTGTGCTCTAGTCACAGGGGTCTGGTTATGCCCCAGGAGTTTTTTCCATGTACTTTTTTATTTGGAGGTCCTTTTTTATTGGAGGTCCTCTGCATGTATCCAATGATCCAAATTCTGTGATGGTAATTTTTTTTTTTTTTGAGATAGAGTCTTGCTCTGTTGCCCAAGCTGGAGTGCAGTGGCATGATCTCAGCCCACTGCAACCTCTGCCTCCTGAGTTCAAGCAATTCTCCTGCCTGAGCCTCCCAAGTAGCTGGGATTACAGGCACCTGCCACCACCCCGGCTCATTTTTGTGATTTTAGTAGAGATGGGGTTTCACCATATTGGGCCAGGCTGGTCTCGAACTCTTGACCTCGTGATCTGCCCACGTCGGCCTCCCATAGTGCTGGGATTACAGGCATGAGCCACCACACCCAGACTGTCATCATAAATTTTACGTGTCAACTTGCCTGGGCCACAGGATGCCCAGATACCTGGTTAAACATTATTCCTATGTGTGTCTGTGAGGGTGTTTCCAGAAGAGGTTTGAATCGGTAGATGGAGTAAAGCACATTGCTGTCCCCAATGTGGATGGGCATTAGCCAATCGGTTGAGGGCCTGAATAGAACAAAAAGATGCAGAAAAGAAGAATTCTCCGTTTCTGCCTGACTGCTTGAGTGTTCTCCTGCCCATGGGTCTTCTCCTGCCTTTGGATTGGGACATATGCCTTCTGCCCTTCAGTTCTGAGGCTTTTGAAGTTGAACTAGAATTTACGCTATCAGTTCTGGTTCTTATGCCTTTGGACTCAGACAAATTACACCATCACCACCTTTCCTGGGTCTCCAGCTTGCAGGCGGCAGATCACGGGACTCCTTAACTTCCATAGTCATGTAAGCCAGTTCCTCACCATCAATCTATATCTCTGTCTATCTCGATCTCTCTCTTATTGTTTCTGTTTCTCTAGAAAACAACTATCTTACTATAAAGAACCAATTCAGATACCACCTTTGTCAAGTCATCATAGACATTCAATTTTTTTCTCTTCTCATTCTTCCATTAAATTATACTTGCCGGGCGTGTTGGCCCATGCCTGTAATCCCAGCACTTTGAGAGGCCGAGGCAAGAGGATAGCTTGAGGCTAGGAGTTTAAAACCAGCCTGGGCAACAAAGTGAGACCCTGTCTCTACAAAAAGAAAAGTTAGTAAATTAGCCAGTTATGTTGGTGGTGTGCCTGTAGTCCCAGCTATTCAGGAGGCTGAGGTGGGAGGATCGCTTGAGCCCAGGAGTTTGAGGCTGCAGTGAGCCATGATTGCACCACTGCACTCCAGTCTAGGCAACAGCAAGACACTGCCTCTACAAAAAAACAAAACAAAACCGTATACTCTATTAGAGCACTAATTACAGTTTGTTCATCTGTTCTACACATTCATTGAGTGTCTACTGTACCTATGTTGTTCTGGGAGCTAGGATGAGACCACTAGGACAGTCTGCCCTTGAGCAACTCACAGAGTAATGGAGGAGGCAGATAAGCAGTTTCAGTATAATGTAATAAGTGCAATATGTGTGCAGAGGATTCTTTGGGAACACGGAGAAGGAACAGCTAATCTAGAAGGAGGTGAGGAATTCCAGAAAGAGTTGAGTTGAATACTGAAGGTGGGGAAATGGAGGTAGGGAAGGGAGTTTTTCAGATTGATGGAACAGCACATAGGACATGGAGATATGAAATATATGGCATGTCTGAAGAATGGTTAAGTCTCAAGCTGGACCGTGAACAAGGAAGTGGCAGGAGATGCAGCCAGAGAGTAAGAAAACTTGCAATTGTGTTGGGCCATTTTTTTTTTCTTTTTTTTTTATTATTATTATACTTTAAGTTTTAGGGTACATGTGCACAATGTGCAGGTTAGTTACATATATATACATGTGCCATGCTGGTGTGCTGCACCCATTAACTTGTCATTTAGCATTAGGTATATCTCCTAATGTTATCCCTCCCCCCTCCCCCTTGTTGGGCCATTTGTGCCAACCTAGGGATGTAAGCTTTCTGAAAGCAATGTAGAACTGTTAGGATTTTGTGAAGTGGAGCAATGTAATCAAGCCTTGAATTCTATGAGCTTCTTGAGGGCAGGAATCAAGTCTTATCACTATATCACCTTAGCACCTAATAAAGTTGAATTGGATTTTCTGGGTACTCCTCCAATATTTAAAAGAATTCATTTATATGAAATAACAGTAATCATATTGCACACTTTTTTCACTCCATCAAATCTATAAGCATTATCTTAAACATAATTAAACAATTCTATGAGGTAGGTATTGTGGCTTAGAAGGTTTAAATGAGGGGACTGTGGTGTAGTAGTTAAGTCTGCTTAGATTTGAATTTCACTTTCCCCATTTCCTAGTTTTGGATCTGAAAGTTAGATATGTGCCTCAATTCCCTCATCCATAAAATGATAATGATAGTAATGATACCTACCTCAAAGGGAGTTGAGAGGACTGACGATAACATGTTAATGCATGAAAAGTGCTTGACCCCATCCTTGCTACATGATTACATGCTCAGTCAATGTAATTCTTTTTTTTTTTTTTTTTTTTTTGAGACGGAGTCTCGCTCTGTCGCCCAGGCGGGACTGCGGACTGCAGTGGCGCAATCTTGGCTCACTGCAAGCTCCGCTTCCCGGGTTCACGCCATTCTCCTGCCTCAGCCTCCCGAGTAGCTGGGACTACAGGCGCCCGCCACCGCGCCCGGCTAATTTTTTTTGTATTTTTAGTAGAGACGGGGTTTCACCTTGTTAGCCAGGATGGTCTCGATCTCCTGACCTCATGATCCACCCGCCTCGGCCTCCCAAAGTGCTGGGATTACAGGCGTGAGCCACCGCGCCCGGCCGTCAATGTAATTCTTAGTAATTATTAAGACACATGAACAATTTGTGGTGAAGTCCAGGGTGAACAAGGCAATCTGATTTCAGAATTCACGCTCTAATTACTATACTATGCTATAACTGCCTCTGCAGTTATGGTGAGATGATCACAGATCGATCAGTTCTGAAGCAGTGAAACAAAATGAAGAATTTCAGTCAACATGGGAAATACTATTTGGAGTAGGGAGTTCTTAAGGGCTCTTCAGATTATCCCCACTTAAAGAACTCTTTCCTTGCTACCCTGCTGCACACGGGGAATTATGTGAGAAATATATCTCTGTAATTTACACAAAGGTCATTAATTCCAGCCAGGTTTGTAAGGCACATGACCGATGCACCTGGAGAATATCTGAAAAAGCTCCCCCTTTGGAAGTCAGTCTGCTAGTGCTGACATCTGGCATACTGTGTCAAGTCTTGTTGCTCTGTTCCCCTTCTTTATACTCCCCAGATTTTTCCAACTTTAGGACCCAAGTGGGAGTCTTATGTTGGAGGATGTTGTGCAAACCACATGCGTAAAGAAAATAATTTACATTTTTCCTTTCTTAGCTTCTGGAACATCAGTGATTCCATCCTCCCACTTCTATTGGGCAGAAATTGAGGTATTCTCCTTATGCTCTCTCATCTTCTCCAAAACCTACCACACACACACACACACACACACACACACACCCACTCCCTGCCATTCATGTCAGCAGAGATCCAGCATAGCTACTTGTTTTTTTTTTTTTTTTTTTTTTTCCTGATTCAAGGGTCTAAGAACATGCAGTCTTTGGTAATAAAGGAACTCACTAACAATTCAGGTTTTCTCCTCCATTCCCACCTTTTCCATTCACAACTGCCTTTAAGCTTTCTTTTCTCTGTTTCTTTGCTTACCATTTAATCTTTTTATCCCTCACACAATGCCTGGTACATAGTGGACATTCAGTAAATAGTTTTGAAAGGATAAAAGACAAGATGCATTGTATATTTAATATCTTTTCAGTTACAGAAAAATGTCCAAAAATATTACCTTTCTTTAAATGTCTTATGACAGCAGATTGTTCTTAGCAAGCAGGCTTCACCTTCACCTTCATTGCTGCATTAGAGCTCCCACAACCTCTATGTTTGTTTGATTGTCCTGGTGAAGCTCTGAGTAGTAAAGAAACTGAAGGGAGGCCTCACAAATACTGAAAGAGATGTCTGGTTTGGAGGCAGGTCTGTCTCATGGTATGTTATTCCTCCAGATTCTTTTCCAATTTTCATGACTTCACAATGGAAAAGTTTCCACAGATTTAAGGCCATAATGGAAATTAATAAATTGTAGAAGACATACTGCTGAAAAGAGATGCGGAGAAAATCTGAGGGAAATAGAAGATGTCCAGAAAACCTAAGTTAATTGCTTGACTTACTTTCTAGGCTTAAAGTCTCCTTGGAAATCATTGGCTTCTACAGACTTCCAACTAGGAGGGCAACAGACCTAATTCTTTAATTCTCCAGTTTATTTTTAGTTTTTTTTTTTAAAGATGGGTCCTCACTATGTTTCCCAGGTTGTCCTTGAAGTACTGGGCTCAGGTAGTCCTTCTGCCTCAGCCTTTCGAGTAGCTCTTATTTTCCAATTTTTGAACCCTTTGCTTACATCATCAGTTGTGTTTGAAATCATCAGTTGTGTTTGAAACTGTAGTAGTCTTCTTCCCTTATTTTCCTCTTATCCCAACCTGCCCATACACCTTTTCTCCCACCAACTCAAATTTTAGAATTTTTAATTATCTCAGATTGGTTGACAGCACTTGTTGATCAGGGTGCTAAAACCTAAAAAATTATAGCTGTAGGTATCCATGGTCCATGGTCCAGAATAAGTAACCTTTATATCTAAAGAGCTCAAATTTATGTGGACAGTGATGCAGAGACAACACTCTCCCTGCTGGTTTCCTAGGAAAGTCTTTAGAAATGTGAAAGAGATTTAAACTTTAGGACCTTATCTTTGCCTGAAAGTTCAGACTCATGTTTAGTCTGAGCCATGATGACGCACTAGTGGACTTTCTAGACATGTTCAAAGCAGTGAACCTGGTCCTTCAGAACTTTGGCCCTGGGTCTTGTACAATGTGCTGCAATATGCAGCAGAAACAGTCAACGTGGGAAAGATGAACATTTGCTCCTGAGCTCAGGCAAATCTGTATGTGTGTGTGTGTGTGTGTATGTTTGTGTGTGTCTACAACCTGGAGGTAGTCTCCAAGACTTCCAGTGAAAGTGATAATGAAGCTTGAATTTGGGATGCTTCACACACAAATCTTGCTCTGTCTCTAAACTTCCTTAAGAAATTAGAAAAAGAAGACCAAACCGAACCCAAAATAAGTAAAGATAAGGACAGAAAGCAGCCAAATAGAGACAATAGAGAAAATTTAAAAAGTCTAAAGTTTGTTCTTTGGAAAGTACAATAAACTTGATGAACCCCCAACAAAACTGATAAGGAAAGAGAAAACAGAAATGACCAAAATTGGGAATGAAAGTTATATGACTATAGATCATACTAACATTAAAAGAATAATAAGAGAGGCTGGGCACAGTGGCTCATGCACTTTGGAGGCAGAGGTGGGTGGATCACTTGAGGTCAGGAGTTCAAAACCAGCCTGACCAACATGGTGAAACCCCATCTCTACTAAAAATACAAAATTAGCTGGGCCTGGTAGTGCACGCCTGTAATCCCAACTACTCAGGAGGCTGAGGCAGGAGAATCACTTGAACCTGGGAGGCAGAGGTTGCAGTGAGCTGAGATTGCACCACTGTACAGCCTGGGCAACGAGTGAAACTCCATCTCAATTAAAAAAAAATAATAAGGGAATATTATGAAAATTTTATACGAAAAAATTCAATAAATTAGACATGTTCTCAGATTAAGCTAATGCAAGATGGAATAGAAAAAATGAATAGCCTTATATCTAAAAATTTGAATTTGTGGCAAAAAAACTTTACCCCCATGAAGAAAACTCCAGGTCCATATGGTTTCTTTGGTGAATATCACAAACAAGTAATAATATTAAAGTTAGGTAAATTCAGAAAATTGAGGAGCCCATTTTATGAGGCAGACATTATCCAGATACCAAAATCTGAGAAAAATATTTCAAGCAAAGAAAATTCATCAATATTCCTTATGATCATAGACACAAAAATCCTTAATGAAATATTATGTTGAATACAGCAATATATAAAAATGTTAGTACATCATGACCAAGTGGGGTTTATCCCAGGAGTACAAGATTGTTTAATCCAAAAATCAATTAATGTATTTCACGTATTAACATAATAAAGGAGGAAAATGATATAGTCCTCTTAATAAATTCAGAAAAGTTCAGAAATAGTTCAAATATTCCTGATTCAGCAAATAAAGAATACAAAGAGGTCAGGTGCAATGGCTTATGCCTATCATCCTAGTGTATTAGTCTGCTTTCACACTGCTATAAAGGAATACCTGAGATTGGGTAATTTATAAAGGAAGGAGATTTAATTGACTCAGTTCCGCATGGCTGGGGAGGCCTCAGGAAACTTACAATCATGGTGGAAGGGGAAGCAGGCACGTCGTACATGGTGGCAGATGAGAAGAGTGAGCAAGAGAAGAACTACCGAACACTTATAAAACCATCAGATCTCATGAGAACTCACTCACTATCATGAGAACAGCATGGGGGGGAAACATCCTCAAGCTCCAACCACCTCCCACCAGGTCTCTCCCTCAACACCTGGGGATTGCAATTCAATATGAGATTTGGGTGGGGACACAAAGCCTAACCATATTATCTAGTACTTTGTGAGGCTAAAGGCAGGAAGATCACTTGACGCCAGGAGTTAGAGACCAGTTTAGGCAACATAGCAATATCCTGTCCCTACAAACAAACAAAAGTTTTCCAGGCATGGTGGTGTGCGTGCCTGTAGTCTTAGCTACTTGGGAAGCTGAGTCAGGTGGACTGCTTGTAAGCATGGGTGACAGAGTGAGATCCTGTCTTCAGGCAGAAAAAAAAAAGAATGAAATTTTTTAACCTGAAAAAAAAATCTACAAAACCTATAGTGGCATCATATTGAACACTGAAATATTAAAAGCCTTCCCCCGTGACTGAGAGCAAAGCATGGATATCCTTTCTTACTACTTCTATTCTATATTGTACTGGAGGTCGTACCTGTTCTAATGAGGCAAGAAAAAGAAATATTAGCAAAAACCACAATTACTTTGCGCTAACCTAATAAAAGCTACAAAGCTTGGAAAGAAAGTACAACCACCTCTTTCTCACAGACATCATTTTTTTACATAGAAAATCTTCAGGAATCTACAAAACAACTACTAGAACTAATAAATGAATTTAGAAAGGCTGCAGGATACAAGGTCAATATAAAAAGTGTATTTTTATAAATCAGCAGCAAGCAATTGGAAAATGGAATGAATAACACAATTCTATACGACAACACCAAAACCCACAAAATACTTAGAGATAAATTATAGACCCAAACGTGAAATTAAAACTATAAAGCTAGAAGAAAATGCAAGAGGATATCTTCACAAATTTGTGTTAGGCAAAGATTTCTTAGGGCATAAATAGCACTAAACAGAAAGGAAAAAAGTGATGAGTTGGAATTACAAACTTTTGCTCATCAAAAGTTACCATAACAAAAATGGAAAAGGAAAAGATAGTGGGAGAAAATATTTGCAATACATATATTGGAGACAAAGGATTTTTGTCCAGAATAAATAAAGACTCCTACAAATCAGTAATAGTAACAACTTAATAGAAAATGAGCAAAGTACTTGAACATGTAGCTCATCAAGGAAGATGTACAAATAGTCAATATGCTATTTGTGAAATTGCTCAATATCATTAGTCTTTGGGAAAATGCCAATTAAAATTATGAGATACCATTTTATACCCACTAGAAAGGCTAAAATTGGAGAAGCTTCTGATGAGGGTATAAAATTGTACCTCACTTTGGAAAATATTTTTTCAGTTTCTCTTAAATTTAATCATATACCTATGCTGTGGCCCAGAAATTCTACTTCTAGGTATTTGTCCAAAAGAAATGAAGATGTATACCCACAAAAAGACATGTATAAGAATGTTCACTGCAACTTTATTCATACTAGCCTCAAACTGAAAGGAAGTGTCTGTAAGCAGGAAGATAAATTGTGATATAATTCATATAAAAGACTACTACTCAGGAAGAAAAAAGTATGTAATACTGATATATGCAACAACAAGAGCAAATCATGAAAACATATTGAGTGAAAGAAGCCAGACATAAAAGAGTACATATTGAATAATTCTATTTATATAAACTTCTAGAACAGGCAAAATTTATGTTGATAGAAGAACGAACAGTGGTTGCCTATGGTAGTATGTGGTAACTTTGGAGTGGTGGATGTTTTTGATCTCTTGATCAGAATAGTGGTTGCATGGGTATATACATTTATCAGAACTTGAATTGTATACTCAAGATTGGGCATTTCATAGTATGTATATTTTACCTCTATAAAAACAAAACTAACAGCTTTATATATGCCATTATAGCAATGATCTAAGAAGGTTAAAAATAAAATTTGGGCAAAAATTGTAGTAAAGAACAAACAGATGGGTAGCAATATTATTATCAGACATAGTAGATTTCAAGGCAAAAGCATTACATGAAACATTAAATGAAATGATAATGCATTTTGTATTGATAAAGATATACTTTATAAGAAATGTTTATATCTGAAATATATAAACAAATTTATATCTGAAATATATAAACAAAACTATTATAAATACAGGAGGGATTTGCAGTGACCACAGTAACTGCAAGAAATTTCTGACACAACTCTCGCAGTAATTGACAGAATGAGGATATAATGAAAATAAGGATATAAAGAAATGAGGATCTATAAAAATCAGTGGTAAATATTAAACTCTATAACCTACAAAGAGACAATATACATTCTTTCCCAGTGTCCACTTTAAACATTTACAAAATATGATTATATGGTAGTCCAGATAGAAAACTGTAATTTCCAAAAGCAGAAAATATAGAGGCCACAGTTTCTGACTACGTTATAAAAATTTGAAATTGATGGTTAATGGTTAACAAACAAGAGCAAAAAAACCCCATAAATTCTTGAATATTTTAACAGACACTCTCTTAAATCACTTTTTGGGGCCAAGAGAAAATGTATACATTAATGACATGAAAATTACTACTAAAAATGTAGAGTATGTTCATTGAGGTAGAGAGTAGAATGGTGATTACCAGAGACTGAGGGGTAGGGGAGATAAAGAGAAATTGGTTAAGGGGTACAAAAATATAGTTAGATAGGAGGAATAAGTTCTGGTGTTTGCACAATAGGATTACTATAGTTAACAATAACTTGTATATTTCAAAATAGCTAGAAGAGAAGACTTGTAATGTTCCCAACACAAAAGATAAATGTTTGCAATGATAGATATTCCAATTACCCTGATTTGATCACCACACATGGTATATTGGTATAAAAATATCACAGGTACTCCCAAAATATGTACAACTATTATTTATCAATAGAAATACAATTCTAAAAAAGCCTATTAAAAAAAAAACCTTATAAGTATGGCCAAAGTAGTATTCAGAGCAGATTTGTAGCCTTAAACATATTTTGATATTAAAGATGAGAAATGAGAAGAATGAATAAAGAAATTAGGATCAATGTGGTATATATACACCATGGAATACTATGCAGCCATAAAAAGGAATGAGATCATGTCCTTTGCAGAGACATGGATAGCACTGGAAGCCGTTGTCCTCAGCAAACTAAAGCAGGAACAGAAAACCAAACACCGGATGTTCTCACTTATAAGCGGGAGCACATGTACACATGGTGGGAAACAACACACACTGGGGCCTATTAGGGGTGGGGTCAGGGGAGAGAAAGCATCAGGAAGAATAGCTAATGGATGCTGGGCTTAATACCTAGGTGATGGGTTGATCTGTGCAGCAAAATACCACAGTACACCTGTGTAACAAACCTGCATATCCTGCACATGTACCCTGGAACTTGAAGAAAAAAAAAGAAGAAATAGAACAGTGAATATAATTGAGAATGTAGGATGTGAAAACTAACAAAATTAAATGCATAAGTTACAGAATTGGTAAACGCAGAGAATGGAATGGTAAGTCCATTTTGTATGTTGAGATAAATAAGGCAAATCAAAGAAGAAAAACAGACACAAAAATAAGACTGGAAATAGGCATGAAACCACAGATACAAGGGAGATAAGAAATTGCATATGAACATAACACTCATCTTTAACTAATGGATCTGAAAGTCATGATAAATGGATGATTTTCCTTATCAGTTTTGTTAGGGGTTGATCAAGTTTATTATACTTTTCAAAGAACAAACTTGGCTTTGTTAATTTTCTCTATTGTCTCTATTTGGCTGCTTTCTGCCCTTATCTTTACTTATTTTTGGTTCAGTTTGGTCTTCTTTTTCTAATTTCTTAAGAAAGTTTAGAGACAGAGCAAGATTTGTGTGTGAAGCATCCCAAATTCAAGCTTCATTATCACTTTCACTGGAAGTCTTGGAGACTACCTCCAGGTTGTAGAGACACACACACACACACACACACATACACAATCAAATTTCTAAAAGTAATTAAGATCTGCATACACCAGCAATTATACAAGAAATTGTAAAGATTGTTGAAGATCTATTCTATCCAGAAAATGTTAGACTGATGATTTTTGTGGATAATTCCTAAAAATGTTCAAGGAGCAGATATCTCTTTTATTAAGTAGATATTTTGAATATTAGAAATATGCAGAAATTTTCTCAATTCAGTTTTTTTGAAGCAGGCATAATTCTGATATCCAAATCTGACCAAACTAGCATGCCCATACAAACACACATATGCAACTATATCAATCTCACTTATGAAAATAGATGTAAATATTCCATAGAAATATAAAAATTGATTTCTATACAATATTAAATATATTATATCATAACTGTACAATGTAGGGTTTAATTCAGGATTTTTGGATAAACACAAAATTTATTAATGTAATTACCTACATTTAATGAGCTAAAAGAGGAACAAACATGATGCCCGAAAGGCATTTAGTAAAATATATTTTATGTTAATTAATTCAAACTGCCAGTAAGGTAGGACCAAAAGTAGATTTTCTTAACATACTATTTATAAGAAACTCAGAATAAACATCTTACTTAATGATGAAACCTTAGGAGCATTCCATTAGAGGTGCCAAATATCACTGAAAATATTTAATGCCATTATGGCGGTTCCTAGCTATTATTTTAAACTAAGAATAAGTATAAATATTGGAAAGAAGGGATGCAATTATTATAACCTAGAAAATATTTAGAATATATAAGGTTATCAAATGAAGAGGTTTTAGGGCTAATATGAATTTTTGGTAGGCTATCTGGTTATGTATGTATGTACACACATATACATACATATGTACATATGCATATACACATGTATGTATATACGTGTGTGTGTGTGTGTGTGTATAGTAGCATTCTTAGAAAACAAAAACCAGCTAGAGAATGTAATGGAAAAAATATCCCTTTCACAATCACAATTAAAAATACAGAAACCTGGGAATTAACTTAGCAGAAAATGTGCTGAACTATATGAAAAAAGCAACAATACTTTCTAAGGGATAAGAGGAGACTTCAATAAGTGGAGAGACAGACCATATTTCTGGATGAAAAGACTCAAAATTATGAAAGTGTAAATTTTCTCTAAATTCCTCTACAAATTAAATTGTAACCAAATTAATTGTAACCAATGACAGATGTTGAAAATTTGGCAACATGATTCTAAAGTTTAGATGGAGTTGCAAACATTCAAAAAAGTAAAATATATCTAATGAAAATATTTTAAAAAGTGATGAAGGGAGACTTGTCCTATAAGTTATTAAAATGTTACAAAGCTGTAGTAATTTGTTCTACTTAGAACTGGTTTAGAAGTAGACAGGTAGATCACAGCAATAGAATTAAAAGTCTAGAAAGAGTCACAAGTGTATATAACATTAACATACAACAAGTTATGTTATAAATTCATTTTAAATCAGCAGGAAAAATGCTGCATTATAAAAACTTGAGTGAGCACTAGTTAACAGTTATCTTAGAAAAAGCATTGTATGGCCAACAGTTATACATGAAAAAATGCTCAGATCAGAGAAATGCAAATTAAAACTACAATGAGCTATTACATTACACTTGCTAAAATGGCTGTTATAAAAAAGATGAAAGATAAGTGTTGGCAAAGATGTGGAGAAAAGGGAACCCCTGGGTGCTGTTGCAAGAAATGTAAATTAGTATCACCATTATGGAAAATGTTATGGAGGTTCCTCAAAAAACTAAAAATAGAATTACTATGTGATCCAGCAGTCCTTTTCTGGGTATATATCCAAAGGAACTGAAATCAGTATGCTGAAGAGATGTCTGCACTCCCCAGTTATTGCAGCATTATTCACAATAGCCAAGATATGAAAGCAACCTATGTGTCCATCATCAGATGAGTGGATAAAGAAAATATGGTATTGTACATATGCAATGGAATACTGTTCAGCCTTAAAAAAGAAAATTCTGTCATTTGTGGTAACATGCATGAGCCTGGAGGACATTATGCTAAGTGAAATGAGCCAGGTACAGAAAGGCAAACACTGTATTATCTCACATGTGGAATCTAAAAAAGTTGAACTCATAGGAGTAGAATGCTGGTTACCAAGGGCGTGGGAGACAGAGGTGGATGGGGAAAGGGGAGATGTTGATAAAAGGGTACCAAGTTTTAGTTAGGAGGAATGAGCTTTAGTGATCTATAGCACAGAATAGTGACTATAATAATTAATAATGCCATGTGTATTTCAAAATTGCTAAAAGAGTAGATTTTAAATGTTTTCACCACAAAAATGGTAAATATATGAGGTGATGGATTTATTAATTACCTTTATTTAATCCTGCCACAATGTATACATATATAGAAACATCACATTGAACCCCATATATACAATTATCATTTGTCGATTAAGAATAAAATTAAAAAATTTTAAGTCATGGAAATGCAATCAGATTCAAGCAATGATACACAATGTACTTCATAAATTAATAAAGAAAAATTGATTTTGGATGGAAAAAAAAGAGGAGAAGCATTTTGGAGCTTTCCTTATCCAACTGTATTTGACAATGTCAAATACCTCTAACTCCCAGTATCTTTCCTGTTCTTTGCAGCTGCTTCCAATTCTATTACTTTTGTCCAAAATTTATATCAAATTCTTTCTTGCACCCAGCATTATCGTCTTCCTCGTCAACTTTCCGTTTCCTGTGTCTGTTTTCTAGCTGCTAATACTTTCCCTCTAGTGTAAGACCTCACAGAGTCTCTTTGGCTTCATGTCAAAAAGACTACCTAAAACATTTCTTTTTACATTCTTTAGTACTGAATTGGACAAAACAATCCCTTTTGAGGGATATTTGGGGTGAACTGGGTGAATGGAGTCAATTCTGATCAGACAACTGCAGGATTTCCTTCAAGGGTGGAAAATAAAGAAGAGGCTTTGAATACTCAAGATGTTGACATTTTTGTTATTCTCAGAGTTAAATTGTGGGTCACTCATGAACTGGAATCCAGTTATTAAAAATGAAATGGAGACAGTGATTTTCAGACTACCTGGTACCATTATGATGGCTCAGAGGCTGCCAGAGGAGGGCAAAGAACAGGAAGAGCAGGACTTCCTAAATATGTTCTCACTGGAACAATATCTGTATGTTGGGGGCTCACATAAAATTTTGTTTCAGGAAAGATTTCTGCTGCTAGAAAGTTTGAAGATCACTTCTTATAAAACAATTAAATGATGATGTTAAATAGAAAAGAGCTGATTTAAAAAGCAATATGATTTATAAAATTAAAAAAACGTAACTACAAAAATCACTTAGTAGTTATATCTGAACGGTGGGAAGTGAATGATTTTATTCACTCCTTTTGCTTATCTCTATTTAAAACATATTGATAACATATCGATGTTACTTGCTTTTGTTTTATACCTTTGGGGTATAATTTAGATACAGTAAAACACACAAATTGTAAGTGTACAACCTGATGACTTTTCACACATGTATAAGACCAAGTGACCACCACCCAGATACAAATAGAATATTTTTATCACCCCGGAAAGTTTCCTTATGTCCTATTCCAGTCATAAGCCCCAATCTCCACATCCTGCCAGAGTTAACCACTACTTTGATTAGTTTTGCCTGTTCTTAAATGGAATCACACAGTATGTACACTTTGAGTCTTATGTTTTTTGCTCAACATAGTATTTCTAAGAGCCATCAATATTATTGTGTATATTCGTAAGTTTTTTTTTAAATGCTGGGTAATATTCTATTTTATAACTACACCACAGTTTGTTTATACATTCTTCTATTGAATATTTGGGTTATTTAAAATTTTTCCTATTAAGAATAAAGTGGCTATGAACAATCTTGTATTTATTTATTGTGACCATATCATTTATTTCTCTGAGGACATATACCTGGGAGTAGGATTACAGGATACATGCATCTTTAACTTCTCAAGATTTTGCTAAATTTCTCTTCAGAGTGGATGCATGCATTTACATTTCAATTAGCAGTACTTGAGAGTTTCCCATTCTCTTTTTCCTTTATCATTTGAAGTAAACAAACCAGGCTGACTTTCCCCTATGGGAAGACCAAAACTAAGCCTAGGGGAATGTGGCAAAACTAACTCTCATCTGTTCCAGTATCCAATCCAAGAGAAGCACACAGAGAGCAAAAAAGGGTCTTGGGTCAGCAATGGTTCTAGGTGTCAATGCATGTCTGGGTTGCCAGCCTGGGAGGAGTGTGGGAGACAAAGTGAGAGGTGTGGAAAACCAGTCTCAGCACAAGGCTACAGACATTAGACAAGAGGTCAGCTTCCCCTGGCTGACAGGTTAGGTTTTCAGGGTTGGATTCTAGTTCCTTCAGGGAACTGGAGGATCTTGGGTAGCAGGGGTAGATCCATGAACCAGCCTAGATAATTCCATATTTACACGAGCAGCAGGGGTGCTGCTACTGCTTTGCCTTTCTGGAAACACAGGGTAATAAGCTTTTAATGTGCAACTAAACCTGGGATGACTTGAACTTATGAGTAGATCTAACAGAAAGATATGGCAGAGTGGATATAGACAGAGACGGGCAATACTCCAATGCCAAGTGCTCAATTGAGCCTAATCCTGGGGCACAATATGTATGTCAATTTTTTAGGTAGGAAGCTGTCTAAGTGCATGGGAGAAGTTATGTCTGTAAATGTGTGAAAGAAGTAGGTGTTTTTTGCCAAGATAAGTGGAACAGTCTGAACTAAGCAGTGTTGGTGGGTCCTAATAATGACAGTGACAATGAGGGCAGATTTCTTACTCACCCTTGGTCTGTTTCATGGTCATAGACTGAATGCTTAGACTTTCCTGGAAGATTCAGAAATTTGTAACTGATGATCCAGATGACAGAGTTGAGCTGATTCTGATTCTACTTCCACAATATGTCTTGAATTCTTTTGCTTCTTTTCAATTGTATTGCCATCACTTGAGTTGAAGCCAACATGATATATATTCTTTGGTATATTTCAATAGTCTCTTTACCAGTGTCCTAACAATTTCTGTGCCACTCAAATTCATTGCACATGGTATTGTGCATCTCATAGTGTTATTCCTTTTTTTAGCTATCTTCAAATGCACGCTCTTGAAATCTCAACAAAAATCATGTTAAAATTTCAGGAGTATATATTTGAAGATAGATAATATGGATACTGTAACTGCCCAAAAGGTTAATCTTGCCCACTGCCTTGACAGAGCTGATTTATCAAGATGGGAAAACTGCAATGGAGAAAGAGTAACTTAGGCAGAGCTGGCTCTGCAGGAGACTGGAGTTTTATTATTACTCAAATCAGTCTCTCTGAGAGCATTTGGGGATTAGAGTTTTTAAGGAGAGCTTGGCGGCTAGGTGCTTGGGAAGTGGGTAGTGCTGATTGGTCAGGTTGGAGATGGAATCATAGGGGGTCGAAGTGACTCCCTCTTGCTGTCATCCATTCCTGGATGGGATTGCAGAACTGGTTGAGCCAGATTACTATTCTGGATGGTGTCAGCTGGTGCACTGAGTGCAGGGTCTGCAAAATATCTCAAGCACTGATCTTAGGTTTTACAATAGTGATGTTATTTCCAGGAGCAATTTGGAGAGGTTCAGACTTGCAGCTGGAGGCTGCATGACTCCTAAACCATAACTTCTAATCTTGTAGCTAATTTGTTAGTTCTACAAAGGCAGGCTGGTCCCCAGGCAAGAAGGTTTTCTGGGGGAGGGGAAAGGGCTACTATCAATTTTCCCAAGGTTAGTTCGGCCTCTGCCCAGGAATGAACAAGGACAGCTTAAAGGTTAGAAGGAAGATGAAGTTGGTTAGATCTGATCTCTTCCATTGTCATAATTTCCTCAGTTATAATTTTTGCAAAGGCGGTTTCAATACTAAGAAATGTGCCAACTTGGGGATTAGAAGACTCAGGTTCTAATTCTAGAACAACCACTAGCTAGCTTATGACTAAGTGATTAGTGATCTCTCCACTCCCCAGATTTCAGTTTTCTCATCTGTAAATAAAAGGATTCAACCAAACTAGAAAGTCTTTACGGGCGATTGTAGGTCTAACATTTTCTGATATTTTGTGGGGCTGATTGAGAGGATTTTTCTTGAGTTCATGCCTGTGATGGAGAGAAATGTACTCCTGAGATGGTAATTCAATCTGCTCTCTCTAAAGAGAGAGTTTAAAGAGTTCCCGTACACTGAGGAAAACCATATCAAAATGTTTAAAAAGCATTTCCTCATTTGAGCAGGTGTGCCATGAGGACTGAGCTCCCAGCAGGGCAGGGGAAGTGTCTGTGGTGGTGGTTTCACAATTCTGGTGTAGGTTCTTGTCAAGTTCTCTGTGCTTTACTGTATACTTGACTACTTGACCTTAAGGTTGTGTCACTCCTTAAAAGCCACCCAATGTAGACCTCTTGGTAGGAGGTGAATCCACAAGTTGTATGGAGTGCTGCTACCATCTTTGTAGGATTCTGACTGAGTGGTGGATATCGGAATATACATTTGTCCAGTTATATTTTTAAAAATGTTAAGTCTTATGGCATAGAGTTATACACACATGTTGTGCAAATGTCAGTTTCCTAATTTTGATATTGTACTTTAGTTATGTAGGATACAACCACTGGTGAACTGGGCAAAGGGCATGGGGGACCTTTCTGATCTATCTCTGTAACTTCCCTTAAATCTTTGTTTAGAAGTTTAAACCATTTGACCCAGCAATCCCATTACTGGGTATATACCCAAAGGATTATAAATCATTCCACTATAAAGACACATGCACATGTATGTTTATTGCAGCACTATTCACAATAGGAAAGACTTGGAACCGACCCAAATGCTCATCAGTGATAGACTGGATAAAGAAAATGTGGCACATATATACCATGGAGTACTATGCAGCTATGAAAAAGGATGAGTTCATGTCCTTTGCAGCGATATGGGTGAAGCTGGAAACCATCATTCTCGGCAAACTAACACAGGAACAGAAAACCAAACACCACATGTTCTCACTCATAACTAGGAGTTGAACAATGAGAACACATGGACACAGGGAAGGAAACATCACACACCGAGACCTGTCGGGGAGTGGGGGAGGGCAGGGGAGGGATAGCATCAGGAGAAATACCTAATGTAGATGACAGGTTGATGGGTGCAGCAAACCACCATGGCACGTGTATACCTATGTAACAAACCTGTAGGTTCTGCACATGTATCCCAGAACTTAAAGTATAATAATAAAAAACAAGGAAGTCTTTCACGGTGGTTACTAGGACTCTCTAGGGCTGATTCCATAACATGTTTCACAGCTGTCTGAGTTGGGATTTTTATTTTTTATTTTTTTTTCCTAAAGCAAAATGTAGATGATCTGACAATGCAATTGATTTTTATAATTTTGCCTATGAAGGCTGTTCCTAAGGAATTTCCTGTTGAAGTCTCAACACACATGCTCAGTGGCCTGTGTGTTCATGTTGTGTTTGATCAGGACCAAGACCAGCCTCAGCAATAGCACTGTGTGTACTGGTCTTTCTGGGTCCTTGAATTTTACACTGTGTCCCAACTTTCTTTTACTTATTCTAGTGTCTTCTGCCCTACCTGTTTCTAGGAAGTTCAGGCAGATAGAAGACCATGGGGTGGCCTGGCCGGTGGCCCTCCCAGACCTTTGAGGAGAGTAGATGGGACAAGATGGGCCCCAGTGATCATTTGGGGATTCAGTCAGTCCAGAATCCATTCTTCCCTAGATCAGGGATGGGGGTGTGTAGGGATGAGGAGAGTGTCCAGAAGGGAAGAGGAAACATTGAGAAGTGACACTTGTCTAGACAGAATTATGGCTCCCCCAAAATATTCACTCCCTCATCTCCAGAGCCTGTAAATATATTGGTTTACATGGCAACAGGAATTAAGGTTGCTAATCAGCTGACCTTAAACTAAGGAGATTATCATGGGTTATTCTGGGGGGCCTAGTTTAATCACAAGAGGCCTTAAAAGCAGAAGAGGGAGGAGAAGAAGACAGTCAAAGAGATGTGATAATAAAGCAGGGTTGGAGAGATGTTATGTTGCTGATTTTGAAGATGGAGAAAAAGAATGTGGGTTGCCTCTAGAAGATGGACAAGGCAAGTCAGTGACTCTCTCCAAAGCTTCCAGAAGGGAATGCAGCCCTACCGACACGTTGATTTTAGTACAGTGAGACCCATGTTGGGTTTCTGAGCTACAGAACTCTAAAATAATAGATTTGTGTTGTCTTAAGCTACTGGATTTGTAGTAATTTGTTACAGTACAATAGAATAGAAATAAAACAAAAAGTGAATATAATACTGCAGTACATAAGGTTTCAGAGTAAGTGTTGATTGAGGGAGCTGGGGCTCAGGAATCAAGAGAATGGGATGCTGGGGCTGGGTGGAGTAAAATTCTAGGCAGGGGTAGCAGTTAGGAAGGAGAAGAAACCCAAGCTTTAAGGGGAAGGGTCTTAAACACTACCATCGCTACCATCAAAATAATGAACATTTCCATTCCTCTGAGTTTCCTGGTGCCCTTTGTAATCCATTTCTCCCTTCACTTCTTTCCCCAGACACTGATATGCTTTCTATTGCAATAGAGCAGTTTGCATTTTCTAGAATTTTATAGAAATTGAATCATACAACTAAAAGTAGAACTACCATTTGATCCAGCAATCCCACTACTGGGTATCTACCCAGAGGAAAAAAAGTCATTATTTGAAAAAGATACTTGCACGTGCATGTTTATAGCAGCACAATTCACAATTGCAAAATCGTGGAAGCAACCCAAATACCCATCAATCGATGAGTGGATAAAGAAACTGTGATATATATATATATGTGATGGAATACTATGCAGCCACAAAAGGAATGAATTAACAGCATTTGCAGTGATGCAGTGACCTGGATGATATTGGGGACTATTATTATCCTAAGAGATGTAACTCAGGAATGAAAAACCAAACATTGTATGTTCTCACTGATATGTGGGGACTAAACTATGAGATACAAAGGCATAAGAATGATACAATGGACTTTGGGGACTTGGGGGGAAGAGTGGGAGGGGGCGAGGGATAAAAGACTACAAATATGGTGCAGTGTATACTGCTCGGGTGATGGGTGCACCAAAATCTCACAAATCACCACTAAAGAACTTACTCATGTAATCAAATACCACCTGTACCCCAATAACTTACGGAAAAATAAAATAAAAGAACTGAATCATACAGCATGTACTATTTTTTAAAATCTGAGACTTTGATTTACCATAATGATTTTGAGATAAGTCCTTATAGTTGTATATATCAATAGGTCATTCCTTTTTTTAATGTTGATAGTACTTTATTGAAACTAATTAAACAAAACTATTGTTTTTGGTTGATTTTTGCATAAAAGACACCTATTCATTGATTTATTTTACAAATATTAATTGAGTGCCAACCATATGCCAGGTACTTTTTTTAAGTCTATTTTTTCAGAACAGTTTTAGGTTCACATCAAAATTAAGAGAAGGCAGTGCTGTGCCAGCAAGGATTGTGCTAGGAATCGGAAAAAGAGATGTTCATTCAGCTCAAGCAATCAGAGGCAGCTTTGATAATTTGAGGTATATGAGTAGTAGCACAGAGGTGAGACTTGGATGGGAAAAGTGTCTGTGGAAACAGTGGGTTTGTATTACACTAGGCAACAGAGAAAGGGGGTGAGGAGAGTGCAAGGCTAGGAATTTAAAAGTCTAGATTTTAGGTAATCTTGCTATCTGATTACTTGATGCAGGTAAATCTTTAAAATTCCTGGGCCTTAGTTTTCCCATATGTAAAATGAGGGGCTCAGAGTATCAGGATTGCTTTTCAGCATGAAATAAAAATTACAGGATTTGGTGAAGGCCCTTAGTGAGTTCTTTAGGATTAATATGACCATGGTCATGGCATTTCAGTTTGCTATGTCACTAAGCCACCTTAAGCACAGCTCGATCTATTATGCGTGATGACAGTGGAATACGGCTTCCCCCTAGGCAGAATGACATCACTCTACTTATGAGTATTCACTGCACTGCTTAAATGTAGAATAATGACCATGGCAGATGCCAGCCTCCCAGTGACCGAAATTATTTTATATTTACAGAGTTGTATGTATATGATGCTTTTCATGGGGCAAGTTCAAAGTCTTCACAAACTGCCATCTCTCATTCCTTTTGGGGTAACCAGGTAGTAACTATTTTGCAGTCGCCAAATACAGAAACACAGGGCTATGGATCCTCAAATCTTTCAATTCTTAAACATTAAGTATTCTAGAATCCCAAAATACTAAATTCAGTAAAAATGTCTCTGCATTCTGTTTGATTTTGTACACTTTTCAGTTTCTCACAAACCTTTTACTGACAGAGCATCGTAGCATCTGCCAGTGATAGGGCAACCAGAGGGTTTGGCAGCTTGTGGGTGGGAGTTTCAGGGTTTGGGGACTTGGCGGCAGTTAGATTGGGCTGTGGGTGTGGGAGGATGAAACTGTGTATTGATGATGGTCTTTGCTTTTCCTAAATCACAATTGCATCATATGAGATAGCTGAATTTATGTTGAGCTTTACAAAAGCCTCCTGGGAAAAGGGCAAAACTGGTTTTAGTGCGTAAGAAATTTATTTATGGCAATTATGGTATCAAACTAAGACTGGAGACTGTTGGGAATCTGGACTGTTTTCTGGTGGAGGAAAAAAAATCCATTTTACTTTTATAAGTAGGAAACATAATTGAATCACTGTAGTTACAGTAATTTTTGAAAGTTCTTATTGTCCTTTTCTTAGGGTAGTAGGTAGGATATTCTTGTTATACTAATTCGTAATTCAAATAAGAATGAATTTTGGAAAGAAATATGAGAAAAAAAAGAATAAGGATGAACAGAAAGAAAATGGCCAGCTCCATGGGAGGTGGTTTGAAGCTGTCAAGCATCCTTGGCCAGTTTTCTCATGACTCATCTGCACAGCAGAGAGATGGTTCTCCTGGAAACACCGGGTCACAGCTTTCTGTAGTTATTAAGATGACTCACAAGGAAGGGGGTTGTAGGTCCCATTTCAAGTTTATCTGCTGTGCATAAATATGACTTATTTCTTTGATTTGATTTCAGACAGAATATCATAGAAGGGAAATTGTATTAACTAATTTATTTTTCAAACAAGAAGACGAGAAAACTAGAGTGCACCCCAGCCATGCTTGCACACGGTCCTCTAAATTGGGTTACTTTTGGTAAGGTTCTGAAATGAGTCCTTTCAGTAGAGTGTATTAGAATGTAACCTATTTAATGACAACTTAGTTGGGATATATTAAGAACTTAATTTTTTCTCCATCACTTCTTTCTACTAAACTCTGTAGACTCTCCTTTTCCCGGCATCTTAAGTAGGTACTCAAACATTCTGATCATTAAATATTTTAACTTTTAATTGAGATATAAATGACTTACAATAAACTGCACATATTTAAAGGATACAATTTGATAGGTTTTGAATAGGTCTACACCTGTGAAAACATCACTACTACCAAAATAATGAACATTTCCATTTCTCCGAGTTTCCTGGTGCCCTTTTATAATCCATTTCTCCCTTCACCCCTTCCCCCAGACACTGATACGCTTTCTATTACAATAGAGCAGTTTGCATTTTCTAGAATTTTATAGGAATGGAATCATACAGCATGAACTATTTTTTAAAATCTGAGAGAGACTTTGATTTGCCATAATGATTTTGAGGTCAGTCCTTATAGTTGTATATATCAACAGTTAATTCCTTTTTTAAATGTCGATAATACTTTATTGACACTAAACAAAAGTATTGTTTTGGGTTAAATTTTCCGTAAAAGACATCAATTCATTGATTTATTATATAAATATTAATTGAGTGCTGACCACGTGCCAGGCACATTTTAAAATACTTTATTTTTTTATTTTTTATTTTTATTTTTGAGACTGAGTCTTGCTCTATCACCCAGGCTGGAGTACAGTGGCACAATCTCAGCTCACTGCAACACCAACACCCGCCTCCAGGTTCAAGCGATTCTCGTGCCTCAGCCTCCTGAGTAGCTGGGATTATAGGCGCCCACCACCATGCCCAGCTAATTTTTGTGTCTTTAGTAGAGATGGGGTTTCACCATGTTGGCTAGGCTGGTCTCAAACTCCTGACCTCAAGTAATCCATCTGCCCCGGCCTCCCAAAGTGCTGGGATTACAGGTGTAAGCCACTGCGCCCAGCCAAGACTTTATTTTTGTAGAGTAGTTTTAGGATCACATTAAAACTGAGAGGTAGATACAGTAATTTCCCATATGCCTCCTGCCCTGACACTTGTATAGCTTCCTCCTTATCAACATTTCCCACCAAAGTGGTACATTTGTTACAATCAATGAACCTACATTGACACATCATCAACCAAAGTCCATAGTTTACATTAATGTTTACTCTTGGTGTACATTCTATGGGTTTGGACGAATATAAAACGACATTTATTTACCAATATAGTATCATATAGAGTATTTTCACAGCCCCAAACATCCTGTGTACTCTACCTGTTCATCCCTCCCTCCTCTGTAACTCCTAGCAACCACTGACATTCCAGTCATTTTTGATGAGCAAAGTTCCATCCAATACAGTTTAAAACTCCAAACTCATATCCAATTTAAAATTCTTCCCTTAACCTATTGCTTGCGGGACCCAAAGAGTGGATTGGAGCGGGTATGGAGAAAGAGAGGGGGTGAGAGACAGAGAGACTGCATCTAAGATATCTCTCCTCCCCTTCTCTCTGTACACATAGGTTGTCCAGGATTGAGGCAGGTAGGGGGTGCTTAGAGGAGATAACAAACTCTTAGACACTTGGCCACCTGCCAGTTGTGGGAAAGTGCCCTGGGTCTTACTCCGGTTACTCTGGTTCTCTCTGCTTCTGGTGGACTTGCTGATATAATGGTCTTCTTGTGATGATTTCTTGTTCAGGTCAACCTGATCTCCTCTGTCAATGAGGGCTTTCTTAGCGGGGGAGATGGGGGGCAGCACTGCTGTGGTCCCTACCTTCAGTCCCCTCTTTGGTAGGATGCCACCTTGTTTGTCCTGTCTGTCTGGGTACTCCTTTTTGTCCCTCCTCTGCTCTGTAGTCCTTGTTGTAGTCTGATGGAAACCACTGAGATTTTCTTCCATACCTTCTGTTGTGAAGCCAGGGTGGAGATGCCACACACCCTTTTCTTCCCAGGAATACTATGCTATACCTTTTCCTTGATGTGCTGCTGCAGGACTACTCCAATAAGCCTCTTGCCTTCACAAATCTGCAGCGAAAGTGGGCACAAGTCTCTGTGTTCAAGTGTATGCCTCCATCTTCTGGCCAAGGTCTCCCTAGAACTCTCTCACTGGGCTTCACTCTGCTCTACTCACTGGGTAGTGAGATGCTGGTGGGCTCCCTGTCTCGTAGCCACCCGCAGATCTGCAGGGTATTCTCCTGGAGCAGGGCATTCCCATTCCCCTGAACACACGTGGCTTTATGGGAGAGGAGAAAGATTTCCTTACTGCCATCACTATACTCTACCCAAGGCTGGGGACTCTCACCACTCTCCTCTGCCTCCCCAGGCTTCTTACATGTACTGTGAGGGTAGGGTTAATGGCTGTCAGTGATAGAGTTGGTTTTACCTACTAGTAATTTCTGGGGGAATACGACTTTCCCTTTAGATATGGAGACCCAGTGCCTGTAGACCTCATCTATAACTCCTGTGCCAGTTCTGGAGGCATAGGAAAAGCTTCACTCAACATCTGGGCATACTACTATCTGGTTTCATAGTTGACTATGCTCTCCCGCCAGTCAGTAGCCTTTCAGTATTATGGGATAATATGGCATTTTTTGTTTGTTTTTGTTTTAATCTGTTAGTTACTATTTCTAGAAAAGCCATAGAAAATAACAGGGTTTATAAAAAATAATATAAGACTGTTTATTTCAGTACAGACTTGTTTTCCAGGAAATACTTGATTTCCCTACAGCTAGATGCTGTAAATACAGTAGGGCTTTATATGTACATTGTTTGCTATAATAGAGATTTATTCTGTGACTTAAATTGTGGCCTTCAGCTGTGTTCTATGTAGTAAAAGCCCCTGGTTCCCAGGGATGCTGTAGGGAGCACTTTGAAGTCAAATGGATTTGGGTTGCAATCAGCAGCTGTGTGAGACTGGGCGAGTCTCTTATTGTAGCCGTCATAGATAAAATAAAAATATTTGTACCTACTCATCTCAGAGGCTTATAAAAACTCAATTGAATAATGTATGTAAAGCATTTAACATGATGCCTGATCATAGAAAGTATACAATAGAGTTAGCTACTTTTATTATCACTATGGTATGGATAATGCCATACTACAATTTGAATAGGAACATGTCAGGTTGGGCAGAGGAGGCCAAGACTGGGCATTCTATTAGATAGAAGGAGCATATATCATGTAAGCAGGAAAAGGAGTCAAGTTCAGAACAGCCAACAGAGGTTAGGACTCCATCAAAATGACTGGGAGATACTACATCAGGTATTAAGGTCAAAGAGCATGGAAAACTGACAATTAGGTATAGCATGGATAAGGCTTGATGGTTATGGATTTGAAAGGCAAGGTCCAGAACATACATCTGAGGGAAGGAGACCTAGGATTGTAGATGGAAACAAAACAGGACCTCTGACATCAGCACTGCTTAGAGTGTGACAGAAGGTAGTTAATTCCCTATGGCATTTCTCCTTTTGCCGGAGGAGATCCTTAAATATTTTCCCCTTATGATCAGCATGTCTCATTTCCTCTGTTTGATTCTTTTCTACTAATTCTAATAGTGGTGAAGTAGAATTGAATATTCTTTTTAAAAATTATTGCTAATTGGGTAGGCAAAAAATAATCATTCAAATTTTTATTTTTTGATAAGTGGGATTTAACATTTTTCAATATGTTTGTTAGCTGTTTGCCTTTTTCGCTTTGTGAATTACCTACTGCTGTCACTTATGATTTATTTATTGAAATTTTAGGGTTTTTCTTACCAATCTGTGCATTCTATGGATATATCAACTCCTTTTCAGTCATATTTGCTGTATATTTTCCCATTTATATTTGCCTTTTATTTCTTGATTTTGCACTTTTAGGGAATATGGAACTTTAACAGTTTTATGGGGTTAAATGTATTAATCTTCAAAAACTTCAAAAACTCTTCCAAGACTTTTAAGATTAGTTTCATAACCTTTTCCCATGGCACATTTTTTATGTATAATTCTTTATATATTCCTATAGGCATTATCAAGTTTGATTTCTACATATAACTATTATCCATCTGAAATCTATGAGCTGCAGATGTGCACATTTATAACAGCATTGTTTATTGTGTATTACTTCTTTTCTGCACTAATTTGTGATCTTTATCATATATTAAACTCATGTATAATAAGCACTGTTTATGTGTAACTTCTGTTGTTGATTAGCAATGGGATTTTTTTTTTTTTTTTTTGCCTCATAGTGTGGAGATGTGAACAGACAGCTGCTGGGTTGTATATTTACCTAAGGCAGCTCTTTGAGTGTCATGGTTATCCCACGTTAGCATAAACTCAGTTTTCAGAATGTAATTATCATGTGGTGCTACAGCTCATTCAACATTATTTATAAATATTAGTCTTTCCACATATGGCCAAAGCTCAACACCACGGGTGTTGACAAGAAATAATGCCTATCATGTTCAGTTTCATTAGCAGGGAGAGGTGAATTAAAAAGGAAAATCTGTTTCTATAGCATTTGTAGAGCCAGTAGTTGTGATTATGTCATTATCTGTTCTTAATGAGTAATGTCCTTCTACACTACCCTCCCAACAGGCTGGTGGCTGCTAATTCAGATAATTTAATTTTCCAAGTGAGGAAAGTTGCTCTTGCATCAAGCTTATAATACAATGCTTCTTGGTGGATATAATTCTTCCATTATAAGCTCCATCCATCATGCCAAGGCAAGTGGCCAGAACTATGAGATTGGACATGGCAAAGACTGGTAATAATTTCACTAATAGATTTTATTTCTTCACTTTAACAATGATATGTCTATCTACATATAGGACTATATTTAGATGGTATGTATTTTCAATTGTAAGCAATTTCAGACCTGTTTGAGAAGAAACACTTTAGTTGGCATCATTCTCTAGATATTATTTATCACTGACCTTGTACATTTGAGCACGCTAGTCTGTGGGCAAAGGTCCTGCTTGCCTAGTGATACTCAAGCAGAGTTTTCCAACTATTAGATCATGCCAGGGATTCAGGCTTATAGAGGTGTGCTCTAAGACTATCATGGCTTTCTTGAGATTTGACCATCCTATCCCATTTCTGCCTCCATTTGGATTCTTGGTCTCTCACATGTAAGGGATCCAAAGAAACAGCATTATATTTATTGCTACTGAGTTGATTTTTTCTTAAATTTCTCTGAGCAAAGTGGTACTGAATTTTCTACAAGCTCCTTACCTTCTTGGTGTGACGTGCACTAATTTTTCCAGACTTGACCAATTCACCAAACCATTGTGGCTCCTCTTTCATTCCACAGAAGCAGGAACACCAAACGGGTTAGGAAATCTGGCTGAGACTTGATCCATGGGCTCTGTGGATAAATGATATTTATTGGAGTCAGTGCCTGCAGATTTGATGAGTTATGGTGACAGCAACAGAGAGCTTCTGTGCAAAACAGGCAAAATAAAATTTATGAATCAGACAGAATTGGTAGCTGAAGGGATAGAGCTATTTAAACCTGCGGGATTTAAGGAAAACTAGTATATATTTTTGGAGGTTTGGCATCTTCTAGAATTCATAGGGAAGAGAGGTTTTTATACCCTTATCTATATATCAGAGGTTTTTTCAGTGGGTTTAGAACAGAATGGAGGAAATAGATAGAACCTGTTTCAAAGCCTAGTAACATGGGGCTTGTAGGCTGAGCAGTAGCATCCAAGCAACCCAGGAAGAATGGTACTCACCCCTTGGAGATGTAATTGTGATTGGGCTCCTAGGCCATGGTAACAAAGTGATCAGAATAGAGGGTAAGTGAGTAAGAAGAGGGATGGACACAGCTGAAGCATCACTTGGTAAATTCAAATCTTGCAATTACAGTTGCTTCTGCTAAGGAAGAGTTCTGTTTTGTTTTATTTTGTTCCTTTGGTCTAAGATAATTGCTTACCTGCACTTTATTCCATTGGAGAAGTGATCACATGAAGCTGAGCACATCGGGTCTTAATCATGTCAAGTCTCAAGAGAAAAGCAGTAGGGATGGGAACCCAGGATTAGATACTGAGGAATAGAGGGTTGAAGTAGTAAGACATTTCAGTGTTTAGATTAGAGAGGAACAGCCAGATATTGGAATCAAGCAAGGTTATGCCTAATAGGTATAGGGTACTAGCAATAAGCAGCCAGGATTTTGGGAAATGGTAGTTCTGTTTGATTTTCATTTTTTTAGAATAAAAGAGTAGTATGTATCAAATAACATATAACCCCAAAGATTCTTCTACTAGATAATTTTAAATGAAATTTGGTCCCTAGAAAGTTTAAGTATTAATAATAAAGCTAAAAACTGGACGGGCACAGTGGCTCATGCCTGTAATCCCAAGGCCAAGGCGGGCAGATTGCTTGAGGTTGGGAGTTTGAGACCAGCCTGGCCAACATGGTGAAACCCGTCTCTACTAAAAATACAAAAATTAGCTGGGCATGATGGCACATGCCTGTAATCTCAGCTGCTTGGAGGCTGAGGCAGAAGAATTGCTTGAACCCAGGAGGCAGAGGTTGCAGTGAGCCAAGATCATGCCACTGCACTCCAGACTGGGAGCCTGGGTGACAGAGCGAGACTCCGTCTCAGAAAAAAAACAAACAAATAAACAAACAAACACACACACAACCCAAAAAACCTAAATACATTATCACTGCATATTTATGAATATTCCTGACAAACTTTACTCAAATTATACATATGTATGAATTATATACTTAATATATGTATAAGTATATATATAAAGATTCTCTCTATATATATAAGGAGAGGGAGAAGGAGAGAGTGACAAAGAATGGACTTCTACTCTGGAAATAAGGAGTTTGTGTGTGTGTGTGTGTGTGTGTATATATTTATATACATATATATATATAAAAAACAAAATTAGCTTGATTCCTTTCCTGATTGTGTGCTTTTATTTTTGGCCTGCTATTTTCAATAAGTGACTCAGAATCGGAAGTGAAAAATCATTTTACAGTTTGACTAGAGTTTTTTTTTTTCTGTTAGGATAGTTGTAATCCTTACATAATATGAGTACAATCTCTGAATGTTTATTAAATGTCTGGTGCTAGGTTTTTGGGTAAAACAGCAATACCAGCCCCCTAACTTCCATGTCTCTCTAATTATATGTAAACTTGTTTAAGATCATCAAGGATAATGATTCATCACTTCAAGGTGCTCTGCTAAAGGCTACATTGTTACAAGACTATTGTTCTCTACTGAATATATTTATTTTGAGCTTTGCTTTTTTTTATTTTTAAAATAAGCTCCAGATCTCTATCTGTACTTATTATGTAAGAAATAATAAACACTTGAATGTATTTATCTACTTTTACAAAGTTACTTATAAAAATAGAAAGCTCTTGCATTTTTAGAAATATCTGCTTAGATTTATTGCTGTCATTATCAGCAGCATCATCATCATCGTCATCATCACCATTCCTTAGGATTGGTTAGTACTAGTTGCTAACCACTGAGTTCAGGGATTATTGTAAATTCCTGTAGCATTTATAAATAGTATATATTAAATAACAGACCCTTTTCCCTTAGAAAAAAGAGAGAAAAATGAAGAATGGTCAAAATTATAGGCAATTCCTAAATTTCAAATGAATTGGTTGCTAAAATTTAGTTTGTAAGGTAGTTTGTTTGAACTTGGAGCCCCTTTTATTGATTGATTGGTAAACACTATTATATATGGTGTATATCTACCTAGTTTTTCTATCAAAAGCCTGCTCAAGAGCTGAAACTGTGTTTAACTCTGTAGTAACAGTATTTAAATCAGAGTCTATTGGTAAAAAGTGTATCAAGGTTCAACATGGAGACTTCCACTAGAGTTAGTGGAGAGCGATCTTTCTCTTTCTGCCATCCGCACCTGTACACCCAAGGAAGACAAGAAGACATTTATACCCACTGTTGTGGGTTGAATTGTGCACCCTCTCCCAAATATATGTTGAAATCCTAACCCTAGATACCTCTAAATGTGACCTTATTTGGAAATAGGGTCTTTGACATGCAATCAATTTAAAATGAGGTCATATTTGATTCATTAAGGTGGGCCCTAGTTTAGTGACTGGTGTCCTTATAAGAAGAGAGAAATAGAGACAAGAAGAATGCGATGTGACAGCAGAGGCAGAGATGGGGTGATGCGTCTACAAGCCAAAGAATGCCAAGGATGGCCGGCAACAACCAGACGCTAGGAAGAGGCAAGGAAGGACCCTCCCCTAGAGCCTTCACAAAGGGCATCGTCCTGCCGATACCTTGATTTTAAGCTTCTAGCCTCTAGAACTGTGAGATAATAAATTTCTATTTCTCATGTGTCTGTTTGCTCTATGATTACTCCAGGAATGGATTTACTACTAAAACAAAACTTGGCAGGCATAAGTTTGATGTGGTTTAGTTTGCCATCTTATAAAACAGTTGTGGTGGTAATATTTAAACTACTTTATTACTAGTGTTTTATTTGTTTGTTTGTTTGTTTTGAGACAGAGCCTTGCTCTGTCGCCCAGACTGGAGTGAGGTGGTGCAGTCTCGGCTCACTGCAACTGCTGCCTATTGGGTTCAAGCAATTCTCATGGTTCAGCCTTCCGAGTAGCTGGGATTACAGCCATGCATCACCATGCCCAGCTATGTTTTGCATTTTTAGTAGAGATGGAGTTTCGTCATGTTGGCCAGGCTGGTCTCAAACTCCCGGGCTCAAGCGATCTGCCTGCCTTGAAAATGCTGGGATTACAGGTGTGAGCCACCACACCTGGCCAGCTAGTGTTTTTACTATAAATCCTTTAGTTCAATATGAATTTTAAGATATATGATGACACACAGTGAGTCCTACAATTTATTGAGTTACCATGACAAGACATGAATATGTAAAAAATACTAAAGCTTGTATACAATAGAAACCTGTACATTAAAACAGGTTTTAATGGACCTGGACACCAGTCACTAAACTAGAGCCCACCTTAATCAAATATGACCTCATTTTAAATTGATTGCATGTCAAAGACCCTATTTCCAAATAAGGTCACATTTAGAGGTATCTAGGGTTAGGATTTCAACATATATTTGGGAGAGGGTGCACAATTCAACCCACAACCGTGGGTATAAATGTCTTCTTGTCTTCCTTGGGTGTACAGGTGAGGATGGCAAAAAGAGAAAGATCGCTCTCCACTAACTCTAGAAATCCTTACTTTAAGTAGCGAACATATATCAAATATAGAATAGCTATAGTTAAGTTTTAAAAAGAAGATCCCTCTGTTTACTATTCTTCTATTTTTTTTCCAATTGAAACCTGGCTAAACTCCAAATTTCCAGAGTAGTAGGAGTCCATTATGTTTCTAGGATTCTCCTTCTCTCCAAGATGGTCCAAGAATCCAGCTGCCTTAATGAAGCCAAAGAGGCCAGTTATCTTTCCAAACACCTCACAGAGAAAGAGAGAGAAAGAATTAGAAAATTTGATCAGGCTTTCATTGGTTTCAATGCCATTGATTCTATTGTCCACATGTTACTGGCAATAATGGGTCCTTAGGGTTTGATGCATCCTTTTTTACTCCACTGATGCACTTTCTGATCAATAACCTATTGCAGTGGTTGTGTGTCTCACACCAGGACCACAGTTCTTTAGTTCATCCTCATATAGGCTAAGAGGATGGGCTTTGAAGTCTGATAACCCTGAGTCCCAGATCTGCCACTTGATAGCTTAAGCTCACTAAGCCTCTGTTTTCAGGACCGTAAATGGGTATACTATTGTATTTTCCTCATAAACTAGTTGTAGGAATTAAATAAGAAAATGCACATAAAATACTTAGGAAAAGCCTAAAGTGATGATTTAGGAGTGGAGGCTTTTATATGTATGTTTATGAAGAGATGTAATGGCGTGGGGAAAAGCCTATGATATATATAATACAATTTTAAGGGCAAAGAGAGGAATAAAATTGTATATTAGTGTGATTTTTAGTGTGACAAAGAGTGGTGCTCACAAATGTCGCATTTTATCTCCTTGAGATTTTCTAACCTCCTCCCCATTACAGTTGCCTGTAATTATGTAACTAGTTCTAGACAATGGACTGTGGTGAAAGTGATGTGTGTCATTTCTGGGCTAAGCATAGAAGAGCCACTGTGAGACTCTTAAGCTGTTGCCTTACCTCTCAAAGTGACTTCTTTAGGTCAAATGTTCCAGATGGAGCTACGAGATGGTGGAGTTTCCATCAACCTATAGCCCAGGCTGGAGCGCAGTGGTGCGATCTAGGCTCACTGCAACCTCCGCCTCCTGGGTTCAAGAGATTCTCTTGCCTCAGCCTCTCAAGTAGCTGGGACTACAGGCGTGTGCCACCGTGCCTGGCTAATTTTCGTATTTTTAGTAGGGAAAGAGTTTCACCATGTTGGCCAGGCTGGTCTCGAACTCCTGACCTCAGGTGATCCGCCCGCCTTGGCCTCCCAAAGTGCTCGGATTACAGGTGTGAGCCACCGTGCCCTGGCAACAGCCTATTTTTATAACAAAGTTTTATTGAAATACATCACACTCTTTCATTTCAGTATTGTCTATGGTATTTTAGTACTACGATAGCATATTTAAAGAGCTGCAATGGAGACCACAAGGCCTACGAAGCCTAAAATATTTACTATCTGGCCTTTTTCAGAAGAACTTTTCCAACCCCTGTTGTAGATTGTAAACTCTGAGCAAGGTTTGATCAAAACCTGCCCTTTTCAGAAGAATTTTTTCCCACAATTATACTATCCAACAATAACCACTATTACAATTTTGGTAATAATAAATTCACCCCCAAATCCCAGTAGGATTAAACAAAAGTTTTTTTTCTCTCTCATGCCACCTGTCCGTCATGAGTTAGCAGGGGGACTTGGTACATCAAGGACCCAGGGCAATGGAAACTCCGCCATCTCTTAGCTGCATCTGGAACATGTGACCTAAAGAAATCAATTTGAGACAAGTAAGAGGAGAGTGGGCCACTTGTCTAGTATAGTGGTTAGGGTTCTCCAGAAAATAGAACTAACAGGATTTATTTATTTATTTATTTACTTACTATTTATAGGACTTGACTCATGCAATTATGGAGGTTGATGAGTCCCAAGATCTGCAGTCAGCAAGCTGGGGACCCAGGAGAGCCGATGGTAGACAGTTCCAGTCCAAGTCTGAAGGCTTGAGAAGCAGGAGTGCCCATGGTGTAGGTTTCAGTCCAAGCTTGAGTCTGAAGGCAGGAGACCAGTGCCCCGGCTTGAAGGCACTCAGACAGAGAGAGAGAGAGAGAGAATTCTCCTTTACCTGGCCGTTTGTTTTATTCAGGCCTTCAATGGATTGGATGAGGCCCATCCACATTAGGAAGGACAATTTGCTTTACTCAGTCTACCAATTTAAATGCTCATCTCTTCCAGAAACACCCTCTCCCATACACCCAGAAATAACATTTAACCAGGTATCTGGGCACCCCACGGCCCAGTTGAGTTGACACATAAACTTAACTGTCAAACCTAGAGTGTAAAATTTAAAGGGAAACGGAAAAACTCAGTAATCAAGGTTAAATAACATTTTAATGCAATATTTAAAAAATCAATGCAAAGATGTACGATAAACAAAATGTTGACATTTTAAATAAAGATAGAATCAGTAATAGTACCTTGCCAAGCCATATTGGAGCCTAAGGCAATACTAATTTTGTCTTTACTTAGAATTTTGATATTTTGTTCATAAGTTCCCTAACCCAATGATTAACATATAGTGGGCCTGTTAAAGTTTTAAAAAATCGATTATGAATTGGTTAGCCCATGATACTGCAAAAGAGGAATGGAAAATCTGTTAGTGGGAACAGTTTGACCTAGTTGTTCTGGTAGAAGGTAGAACTTTGTAATCCTAAATTTATGTACTAACTCTATTCAGCAGTTTGTCTCTTCACCGACAAATATTGGCTATGGGTTCTGCCTTAGTCCTAGACCCGTGGGCGCCATCCTAATTTATATGACTGTTTTAAGGTGATATTTTGGGATTTATTATACTTCAAGCATAATTTTGAATATAATTTTTCGAAATTTAGATTTTCTGTAAAGGCTTGCTTGTACAATCTAAATACTTGCCATATTACTTTTTAGCCAACTATTTCTGGCATCCTCTCCCATTTCTTAGTTGAGGTATTCGTCAAATAGAATAATCTTATCCTCCTCTTCCAGGTTCTTCTTGTAATATCTCCATTATGACTGGAAGATGGAATGTTCATTCCAAAAGTCAGATTTGTTGGGATTCTAAATCACATTTTTCAGAGTTCAAAGTTTCATGTTATACGAGAACTTGAACTTTTCTCCATATAATATTTGGATGTAGCTGCTCCCAAGGACTGAACATAATGTTGTTTACTTCTTGGCACGGAGACCCATGTTGGTCAGTACAGAGACCTGGATGAGAATAAGGAACATTCACCTTTCTCTTCCAAATACCCATTATTTGGTAGAGAGAGAGAGATTTTGGTAAAGGCTGGCGAAGGAAGCATTATGTGAGTGGATGCTAAAGTAGCATAATAGTCATTAGACAAAACATTTTAAAGGGGGTATAATAAATGTAGAAATAGAAAACACAATTATACATTTAGTTTACCATTGAAAATAAAAATAAATGTACCCAAATGGTAGTTACTCAAAGGCAAAAATAAAAGTGTTCATGAAGTTCCAATAAACTTACACATAGTTTAGTCTGAGATATACTTACAAGGTCAGCTGGTTTTTTGTTAGATGCCTTCATTGCAGACTTCTATTACCCAGAGGTAAAATTTACAGTTATTTTTCATGTAGGGAAATAGAGGAAGAGCAAGAAACGTTCTCCTTCCTCACCTCAGTTCTTTGATGTGGATGGAGTGGGGGTGAGGTCGTAGGAGAGAAAGAGGGAAAACCCAGAAATGAGGTTTGGGGAAAGAAAGAAGTGGAAAATATTAAGGGAAAAATGTGGAGTGGTGAGGAGGAAAAGGACAGAAAAAGACTATGAGGAAGGAACAAGAGACAGGAGTCTGGCTCTAAAAGCTCCATTTTGTGTACTACTTGGTGAAGGAGACAAAAACAACAATTTTGGGTAGTGGAGACTCACCTGATTTATTATTTACTATACAGGTGCCCTCCACGTTGTGGGGAATAATTTGGGTCTGGGGCCACTATGAGGATTTTTTTCTGCAGGTACTAATATTCTGAGGTGTGATAGAACTTCTCTTTTCCTGGGACAGGAATAAAGTGAACTAAGAAGAAATAAACATTTATCAAGTACAAATGGCAAGATCTATGACAAAGTTTCCTGGGAATTAAGGTCTCTAAATCTTCATTTATTCCCACTATGCTAGTTTTCCTGTTATTTTTCCAATTTTTTATTTTGGTGAGGACTGCCTATAGCATGTTCTCTAGTAGGCGAAAAAATGAAAGAGTTTTTCTAAAGAAAAATTCACTACTTTCTTAAACTTTACCTTGAATAGCTGGTATGTTAACTTGCCTCTATTTTTATAAATTTTTAAGAGGAAACTTGATGGTTTTCTGCATAGGTAATTTTTAAATATTACTTAGCTGAGCCATGTGGAGAGATTATTTCTACTGTTGATAATAATTGTTTTATCTCTGGAAAGCATAAAAAATAGAGTATTTATTTGTATCTGTCACAGCACATGCTTGGTTTACAGAGGATTCTTTGTAAAAATTCACAAAATTATCAATTTAAGGTCTTTGTAGCATATATATATGTATTTATATATATTCCTCTGTAATTATGAGAATTGTGGACACTTAAACTAACTTGTATATCTGCTATATTTCACATCTGAATGGTACTGCTGGTTTTTATTTTTAATTTGATTTGTATCTTTATCAAACCAACATAAATGCATAGTTTAAAAAGTCAAAACAAATAAGACTTATGATGAATACAGCAGTGTCCTGTGGCATATTTTCCCACACCTGATTCCTGTTCACTGTTCCACTTTATTAAGTTTTTCACCTCCTTATTTCTAAACAACAGACTTATATTAACTTTAAAACTCCTTCATTTTATGCACCAATGACTTTCCACTATGGATAGTGGGGCTTTAGTTTTCTTAGACTATCTATTCCTCCTTCCTGCCCTTCTTATTCTACTGTCAGGTCACAGTTTTGGTTAAATTGACATTTAGAAGTACTTTTTAAAAATTCTTTTAAATATTTGTACTCTGAGAATTTATTTTAAGAGAATAATCAGAGGTGTGCATAAAAGATTTACATACAGGGATGGTCATTACAGTATTTCAGTAATAATGAAAAAGAAGACAAAATCTGAAGTCTAGCATTAGGAGTTTTTTGTTAAAAATCTGTCTTCACCTATTCATGTAATAAATTACGACGCAACCATTAAAAACAACGTTTTTTTAAGACTGTTAATGACATAGGCAAAGGTTCATGATACTCAGAATTAACAGTATACCTAGTTTGATGCAAATTTTATTTAAAAAAAGAAAAAGAATAAAAAATATATATAATATGAGACTATGGAATGCTGTGTACCAAAATGTTAAAAGTGATTTTCTCTAGATGATCAAATTGGAAAGGAATTTTGTTTTCCTGTTTAATTTTTTCTGTACTTTCCAAAATGAATTATGTTGGTAAATTGCTTTCTAAAAGTGTTCTACTATTTTGCAATATCATCAGCCATACTGTATTCTCAATACTACTTGATATGGTGCTATTATTTTCAAGGTTCTTGATATTAGATGTGGTCATCTTCTTTTTATTTATATTCGGACATTTTTGTGGAATTTTGACATGAGTTAAATGCATTTACCCTTAGCTATATTTTATAGGAAGAAATAAAACTCTCGTAATGTACATTAATCATTCTAAATTTATTTTTGCTAATTTAATTGGCAATATCCCACATTATTTTTAGTTTTGTTTCTTTGTGCTCAATTAATTTTTTATAGCTTTCTTTTCTTGTTGTACATTGACTGTTCTCTGAATTACTTCTATATCCACTCACATCCTTTGGCTAGTACATTTTGAGATGATAAGACAGGGTTAGAGATTATTCAAAGCAGAGAGAACAGTGTGAGCAAAGGCATGGGATAATGAATTGTGGAATGGGTTTGGGAGATAGCAATTCCACTTTGAAAGGAGTGTGGTGTGCTTGTAGGAGAATAGGTAGGCAGGAAAATGTAATGCCCTGGAGGTGTTGAACATTGCTTGCTCTTCCCCACCTCCTTCTCAAAGAATCTCTTCTGCTCAGGGCCCTGCTTCCAATGAGTCTATTCTCTAAACCTGTTATCCTGCCCATTCCCCATGTGATTGGATCACAGCTGATTGGAATAGAGCGGGCTTCTGATCCAAGTACCCATCATCCATAGGCTGTTCTGTGACATTTCTATGGTCTAGCATGAAAAGACGGGCCATTTGGAATTGGTAAATTAAGAGACTGAACCAATTAGTGGGGGCAGAAACTACAAGGAAGTGTTGAGAGTTATCAAGGTTTAAAAGGTATTGGGAGTGACCACATTGTGCTGTGTTAGCCGAAACTATCAGAGAATGGAAACTGCATAAACAGAGGAAGCAGAGTAATAGAAGGGAAACTGAAAGGAGAAGCAGCAACACGGATAGAAAGAGAGAGTGGTTGAGTTTTAGAGCTTTCTTGTTTTCTGACAGTTATCAATTGAACAATGAGTGTGCTTTAAAACATTTTCTTACCTGGGTGTGGTGGTGCATGCCTGTAGTTCCAGCTACTGGGGAGGCTGAGGCAGGAGGATCACTTGAGTACAAGAGTCCAAGACTAGCCTGGGCAACATGGCAAGACTATGTCTCTTAAAAAAGAAAATTCCAGGCATGGTGTGGTTCATGCCTGTAATCCCAGCACTTTGGGAGTCTGAGGCAGGTAGATCACCTGAGGTCAGGAGTTCAAGACCAGCCTGGCCAACATGGCGAAACCCCATCTCCACTAAAAATACAAAACTTAGCCAGGCGTGGTGGTGCGCGCCTGTAGTCCCGGCTACTCAGGAGGCTGAGGCAAGAGAATCGCTTAATCCAGGAGGCAGAGGTTGCTGTGAGCCAAAATTGTGCTGCTGTACTCTAGCCTGGGCATCAGAGCAAGACTCCATCTCAAAAAAAAAAAAATTTTTTTTTGAGGTAACTTGAGTAGATCTCTAGTCCTTCCAAGCATGTAGGCATTTTGGGGGCCATATTATGAAGAACTTTGGATGCTAAGGAAAGACATTTGTAATTGCTAGGCAAGGGATAAATATTAAGAATTTTTGAGGTGTGGAGTAATATATGAGAAGTATATTACATGAAGATTAATCTGGTAGTAGTATGTAGGAGAGACGGAGGAACTGATTCTGGAAGCTATTACAAGAAAATATGTGGGAGGTAATTAAAGCTTTGAGGATATGATAGAAGGAAGGTAAATGAGTGGATAGATGTAAAACATATAACAAAGGCAGGATCAACAACATATGATAATTTATTAGATACAAGGGACTGGGAAAAGAACAAGTCAAAGTTGAAGCTCAGATTTTAAATTCTGGGGATTAGAAGTTGGTAAGAGAAATAGGAAAGTCCTATTAAGAGAAATAGGAAAGTCAGAAGGACCAGACCGCTGTTAATTTCATGTTGGTTGAGTTTCATGTGCTGGTAGGGAAGTACTGTTTTGTTCTGCTTAAATAATGTTTATTGAGTTCCTAAACCTTGTTTTAGGCTCTGGATGGCGGAGGTGAGAGGTTGAAGTACAAAAATGAGTAAAATAAGGTTTGTGCCTTTGAGGAAACTCTAGTGTTATGGGTGAAGTTATCTTTCAGGTAGAGATGTACGCGTGGAGCTTGGGAGAGAACTTTTGGACAGGAGATTCAGGTGTCAACAGAGTCCCAAAGAAGTGGATTATGAATGGATAGACAGAGGGGATGCAGAGAGGAGGACTAAGGCTAAAACCATAGTGAAGAGCTTGTGTCACAGGGCAGGAGAGTCAAGAATAATCAGAGGAGGCATGGCCAGGACATTCACAGGAGAAGCAGGATAGTACAGGGTCAAAAGAAAAACCATAGGAATGGAGGGTTTCAGGAGGCATAAGGCCATCAATAGTTTTAAATGTCATAGGAAGCTTGAGAGAATGAAGTTGGTCTGGTGTGTAGGAGGTCATTTGTGATCCTAGAGGGAATTTGTGAGTAAGAGCAAGTGAAGAAATGTAGAAAGCAAAGGTAGACCACTCTTCTAATAGTTTGGGTTTTGAAGGGATGATAAGAGGAGGAAACTTGTGGGAGGGGGCAGAGTCCAGAGAAGGTTTGGTTTGTTTGTTTATTTTTAAAGACTTCATCTACATGAGGAGGCAGAAGAAGAGATCACTGGTCTGGAGGAATCAAAGATTCAAGAAAAAGAATGGAAGGAGCAAGGAAGTAAGGATTTGGGAGGGTTCATGATCAAGAGTAAAGGTGAAGGACATGACCTTGCCAGAAGGAGAGACATTCATTTCATCCTGGAGCCAAAGATTGAAAGGCAAAATACAATATACAGTGTGAAGGAATTCAGAGGGGAAGAGAAAGGAAGTACAAAGAAAAACACTTCAAATGGCTCCAGTTTTCTCAGAAAAGTAGCTAACTAGAAGTGGAGTCTTGTGATTGGGGATTTTAGGAACCTAGAGGAAGAGAAAGTTTTGAAAGGCCACTGAAGAGAATGGAAAAGGGAATTAATAAGGTAAATGAGAGGATTTTTGAGTGGTAATCAAGAGACAAATAGGGATGAAAAGTTGAGAGAAGAATCAAGAAAATGAAAATGATTTCAAATGCTAGCAGTACTCATAGAATTTTACAGAATTCCTCCCTCCCCCACCTACACGATTTTACAAATGAAGAATTTAATTCCAGAGTGGGTAAGCAACTTACTGTGAGTTTGTTGGAGTTCTAACTTCTGCCCTCCTTCTTTCTGAATGAAAAGAGATGTGACAATTGATTATAAAGTTAATTTAAGGAATTGATTCAAATTTGAAATCTGACTAAACCTGGAAAATATGAAATTGACCCAATCAAAAGATCAGAGCCTATATATATTAAACAAATGTGATAGTTGGTCAGTAAGTCAGAAGAAATGATTCAGGAATATTCTCTTCAGTGTGTATTCTGGGTTAGAATATTTTGTCAAATGTTTACATAATTATGATTTTGCACATAAATATTTAAATGTCTGGTTGATACAAAGTAACTGTCAATTCACTTACTGTCTAAAGAAAACTCAGTTGTCACAGTGCCATTCTATAATAAGAGTCCAGTTTCCAGGGTAAAAGTTACAGTTGTGGAAGATAATCTGGAAAATTATTACATATTCAGAAGTAATCAATCATTTCTGGTAATGGAATGAGAATATTATTTAAACTGTTTTCAAAAGTATTCAGTTTATTCCCAGATCTCAAGACTCTGTTCCTTAAATTTCTATAAATCATCTTACAGATGAGGCTTTGACTTTCTGAGGACTCATTTTTTCAGCAGAGGTCCAAGAAAGGCTGAATTTCCTCATAGGTGGTAGGAGTGAAATAATATTCTTATTTCCTTGTGGACAAGATCAAATAATAACTTCATATTGAATCTCAAGAGTGACCATTAGGGAACAAATGATATAATCATAACTCTTCTGTGTCATTTCCATGTGCAATTTTAGTAGTTACAATGAATAGACACTTCTCAAAAGAAGACATATATGTGGCCAACAAGCATATGAGAAAATGCTCAACATCACTAATAATTAGAGAAATGCAAATCAAAACCACAATGAGATACCATTTCACACCAGTCAGAATGGCTATTATTAAAATGTCAAAAAATAACAGATGTTGGTGAGGTTGTAGAGAAAAGGGAACACTTACTGCTGGTGGGAATGTAAATTAGTTCAGCCATTGTGGAAAGCAGTTTGGAGTTTTTTCAAAGAACTTGAAACAGAACTACCATTTGATCCAGCAATCCTGTTACTGGATATACAACCAAAGGAATCATGCACTCATATGTTCATCACAACACTATTCACAATAGCAAAGACATGGAATCAACCTAGATGCCCATCAACAGTGGGCTGGATAAAGAAAATATGGTACATATACACCATGGAATACTATGCAGCCATAAAAATGAATGAAATCATGTCCTTTGCAGCAACAGGGATGCAGCTGGAGGCCATTATCCTAAACAAATTAATGCAGGAACAGAAAACCAAATACAGCATGTTCTCACTTATAAGTGGGAGCTAAACACGGAGTACACATGGACACAAAGAGGGGAACAAAAGACACTGGGGCTTACTTGAAAGTGGAGGGTGGGAGAAGGATGAGGATAAAAAAAACTACCTATCAGGTACTATGCTTACTACCTAGGTGATGAAATCATTTGTACACCAAACCCCAGTGACACACAATTTACCCATGTAACAAACTGCACATGTACCTGTTGAACCTAAACTAAAAGTTGGAAGAAAAAAAGTTTTAGTAGTCATAGAATAGACAATGGCCACAGTATTAGGGGGAATATTATTATTACCCTTGCATATTGCCAAGCACATTGTAATTGTTGGTATTCTTTATCCCACTGTGACAGCAGATGGGAATGCCATCAGTGATATCCATAGGCTTAGGCTTCAGCATGAGGTGGGGGTCAGTGATTGTCCTGGCCTCTTACCCTGGAGGTAAAATGGAAGAACTCAAGTTTTTTTGGGGCTGAATTCCAAGGAAGCCTCAGGAGAGTTCTTCACACTGAACTGGTACTGAAATCTTTAACACTTTTCTGAATTGGTAGACTTTGTCCTCAGGGTGGAGACAATACTAGTGGTATACCCATCTCTATTGGTGTGTGTATGTGGGCACACATATGTGTATGTAAGTATAAATGTATGTATATCCACTGCTGCTGGCAGTCCAGACTTAGAATTCCACAGGGGACAGTGGGTCTCCCACTCTTACTATCTTTTAAGTCCCAGTTTAAGAATGGGTGTTCTGCTTTTCAGAGGTATTCCTAGCCAAGGATTCTAGCTTCCATGATGAAGTATTGGGCAGCTCTGTGGATGAAGCCTTGTTTTAGCAGGCCAGGCTCTCTATCTGACTCAAAAGCTCAGACATTGTTCATGGGTGTCCTTATTTGTGAGGCCACATTCTGAAGAGAAGGTCCTCCTTAACCTGTATCTAAAGAGTTAGTCAAGAATGCTTGTGTCTACTTTTCACTGGATGTTCAAGCTACTTTAACTTCCCCCTAAGTATACCCCAGATATGTTTTAAGTCACTTCACATTTCTGCCACCAACATTTGCTTGTTCCCGGCTATGTGCCATTCCATTTGCCTCCTCTCCAACAGGAATTCTGAACAACTCTACCGCAAACAGGTGAGAATTCTCATGTGGGAATTTGAAAGACTTGGCCTCCACTTTCTGTGCCCATCACTGGGATGGGATGTGATAGAGCTTGAGCCTGGCTTTTCTTTTCTTTTCTTTTCTTTTTTCTCTTTTCTTTTCTTATGGAGTTTCGCTCTTGTTGCCTGGGCTGGAGTGCAATGGCGTGATCTCGACTCACCACAACCTCCATCTCCTGGGTTCAAGAGATTCTCCTGCCTCAGCCTCCCATGTAGCTGGGATTACAGGCATGTGTCGACATGCCCGGCTAATTTTGTATCTTTTAGTAGAGACGGGGTTTCTTCATGTTGGTCAGTCTGGTCTCGAACTCCCGACCTCAGGTGATTTGCCCTCCTTGGCCTCCCAAAGTGCTGGGATTACAGGCATGAGCCACCGCACCTGGCCAAGCCTGGCGTTTCTGCTGCCACAGAACCAAGGCTGTTCTCTCTTTTCAACTCAAGACTGAAGTCCTTCTCAAGTATGACAACACTTATGGTGGAAGATTTATCATCTCCTGCGGGGCTATCTTGGTTCTCTTTTGTAATAAAAAGAATGGTGGAGTGGTGTTCACCATTTCTGGCAAGACAACTGTTACTTCAGCATGCTCATCATATACAACACTTACTGGCTCTCAGTAGAACAGGCAATATATAATATAAAGTGAATAACACAGATATTGGAGCCAGGAGGATCAGGCTCTGATTTCTGACTCTACTACTTTCTAACTATGTGACCTTGTAGAAGTTGCTATAAGTCTTGTTTATCTACCACAGGGCTGTTGTGAGAATTAAATTAACTAATATGTGCACAGTTCTCAGCATAGGGTTTGGCACATTATAGGTACTCAATAAATGGTAGCACTTATCATCATTATCACTATTTTCTTGAACATGGGGAGTAAGTCTTTATGAAATTTGACAGCCAGGACAGTTTTATCATTGTTCCTAGAAAGGTGGCATGTAGATGCCATCCTTGCAGGTGTATTTTGATGAGTCCTGATACATGGTAAGACCATTTGGCATATAAACTCCATGGCCATCTTCCGATATCCAGTGAATTACATCTTGGATGAATGCTGAATCATTACGGTCTTCTTGGGTAACATGATCTACTTATCTGACTTACTGTCACATAGATCCCTGCTTTGGATGGGCTTTATAAGCCTCCTGCAGTGTATCTAGACCAACTCTGAAAAATGTTTGTTTGAGAACACAAGGGGGAGGACTCATTTTTCCCTTCAGAGATTTGCCATATCAGAGAAGTATATCATGCTAGTAAAAGGTGGTTAGCTTCATGTCCATGCCCATGTTTCAACAATATAATTCCTCCTATCATTCAAGTCATTGTTAGTGGGCTACAGAAAATTTTGAGATCCACTTTTCTTACTGGGTCGTAAGAAACTCATTCCCCAACTTGCTGCTTTCTCATGGCATTTCATCCCATGGCAACTGTCGTTTGCAGCCCTGTTACTTACCTTTAACTTAGTGCATCTCTCACATCATGGATGCCTTTCATGACCTGGGCAAATGGCCCATAGGCCATTCAGAATGGCCTTCAGGACACTCTGTAGCTATCTAGGCATCAGTACAAAAAGTTCTGTGGTTAGCACTTGGCCTTCAGGGAGAATGCGTGTGAAAGATGCCGTCTGTGTCTTCGCATATCCACTACCCACTTGACCTGAAAGTAGAGGGTTTTCACTCAAGATCCTTTGAGGGAGTTGTGTTGTTGAATGTAATTACCCCCTTCCAAGTGAATTAACCACATCTTCTATGTGGGTACTGCATTGTATTTTTCATGTAACAAATTATCCCTTTATGTCCTATGCTAATTTTTCAGTTGAAGTGCATTTTTTATATCTTTAATTTTTATAAATAGGTACCTTATTGAGAAACAGGCTAAAGAAAAAATAAATTGAACATAATCAGGCTTCTGTCCTAAGGCCTCTTCTTTTTTATTTCTTATGCTCCCCTAGATTGTCTCATGAAAATTCATAGCTTCAATTACCACCTTTCTGCTTGTAGTTCCAAATCTTTTTCTCTAACTCAGTTCTTTCTCTCAAATGATAGACACACAATTCCAACTGCCTCCTGGGCCCATGGCTCACCTGGATGTATCCCAGGGAACATACTATGTCCTAAATTGAGCTAATTGCTGTCCCCTTATAAACTTTCTCCTTCCCTGTTCTTGATCTTGGATAGTGGCACCAACATAGTCTAGTTCCCAGAATAGAAGCCGGGAACTTCTAGTCTCTTCATCTCCCTTATTTCCAAGATTCAAATGCTATCATTTATTCTGACAAAATACTTTATAATCTCTCAATTTAGGCCTTTCATCATTTAACTCATAAATTAATATAATACTCACCTATAATTACTCTCCTGAACTTCTGGCTTAGAACTCTTCCATTTGTTTTCTCATGACTCAAAATCAAAATTCAACATCTGACATGATTTTTATAAAATGTGAAAACTGGCAAATATTATTTTTTCCTCTCTCTCACCTGCTCTCAGCTTAAACATCTTTAGAGGCTCCTCATCATTTTTAGAATGAAGAATTAATTTGTTAACATGACTTATAAAACCTTTTATGATTTGACCTCTGCTGATTTTTCTTACTGCATCTCTCACCACTCTGTCCCATTTGTCCTCTCTATTCTTATTATAGTGAGCTAATTGGCATTTCCTGGCTTGTTCAGGCCAATGTTTTTGCACATGGTCTTTAGTTATCTACAATTTCTTTACCCACCTTGTTCCTTTAATGAACTCACGAAGCTTTTCTTGACCTCCTTCCTAAAGGAAGAGGTATGTTTTTCTTTCTTTCTGTTTCCATGGACCCTGCATCACTTATTTGACAAGCATCTACTGAGGATGTACCACACAGTAGAAATACCGCGTTAAAAAATCAAATATTAAATCATTATTGGATTCAGCACATAAATATATTTATTTTGGTTAAAAAATTAACCTAGTCACTTAGAGTGGGGTTATTGTTTTAGCCAACTGTCAGCCTAATTATAATTTCTGTTTGGTTCAACTATTTCTGCATTTTTTTCTCCAAATCATTTAGGATACATCGGTGTTGTTGAAAAACAAATTCAATCCACCTCAAAGGTGGTTATCTTTGTTTTAAGCAAATAATGTGTCTTAAAGTTGTGACTGGCTTCCTTTGTTTTTGTTTGTTTACTTATAATTATGTCAGAAAGTGGAAGGTTGGGCTTGTTGGGCTACATAAAATCTTATGTGGTATTTTGGCATATTAGTTGAGGAGAAACGGCAGAAAAATGGACTGGAGATGGCTGAATGAAGGGGGGTTAGGATTTTCCCTGTGTTACACTGAGTATTTCTGTTAGGTGTGGGGAGTGAGGAGATAGGACATTTTAGGACTATTATTACATGTTTATTAAAATATCTTATCTAAAGAAGGCGACAGAGAGAGTTCTGTCTCCACAGAAATAGGCTTTTGCTCTTATCCTCCCACATTAAGCTTTTCCCTCAATCCTTCTCTATCTTTGTAGCTTCATTCTCCTTCATCTGCCTGAATCATTTTGGGGCTCTGGTTATACTATCTGTAGCGAATCTCCATTATGTTGTCTGCTTCACGGGTTTCACTCTTCTTCCACTCCTTCTGGGAAATGCTCCTTCTAGCACTCCTGTCAGTTGGTTTGAATGTGAGCTGCCATGTTTCCACAGACATTACACCTGGTTCCAGTTGATGGCTAAAAGGTAGTCAGAACTCATCATTTGGATTTTTGAACTAGGAACCAGTGAAAGAATGATCTGTTCTTCTTTGGAGGTAATGGTAGCTCTAGGCAGCCATTTTCTTCATCATCTGCTTGCACCTAATTTAAAAGAATAAAATAAACTTGCAGAGAAAAGCAATGATGAGACAGGGAAGTTCTGGTGGAATTCAGGTTTCTGGTTGTGAAGTTGCTTATATTCAAGTCTCTGTCTTGAGGTCCAGTTGTAGCCTTGCCCTTCTTATAGCACTCAAACTAATACATTTCCCTTTTTGACTAATCTAATTCCATCTGGGTTTCTGTTACCTTGCAACTTAAAGAATCCCAACCATTCTACTTTACTCATCTCTTCTTCTGTATAACCTCTTCTGTGCATATTATTAATATTATTTTATTCATGTCCTTATAATATTAAGGGTTTGCATTGACAACACTTTTGCTGAGCTATATACCAAGTATCCAAAGTGAGCAATTTCATTAGGAAGTCAGGTGGAACAAGCGAGGTGGTTTACAAATACCTAGAAGATTAGTCAGGAGAACTAATTCACATATAAGGTCAGTCAAGACTTGTTCTTTAGAAGATGAGATCAGGATCTTGTCTGTAAAAAAATGGAAAGATATGGAATTTTAACTCTGAACTTCAGAGATCCTAGAAAACACAATAGATCATCAGAATATTATAATCACAGATGTAGGATGGGAGGAAGTGATATATCTATCTATACATGTAGAAATATATAGATATATATTCTTATAGAAATGTGTACATAGACCAGGGAGTTTAACATTTGCCTAGGAGTTCAATATCTATATATACCCACTGTATATACAGGTTCATCACAAGGAGGAGGCTTAAATATATTTGTCTTAAAAAAGAGTTCAGTGAAAAATTGGGTATGAATTTCTTTAATGAGAAATTAAAATTTTTATTAATATAGGTACTAATATAAAGACAAAATGTGACCTGGGGCAGCCCAGTTCATGTATTTTGCATTATGGACTTGAAAGCATTCTTTCACTTAGATCTTATAAAAGATATTATGATAATAAAAAGGAAAAACACCTAAAATATGAGTAAAAGATTTGAACAGACATTTCACAAAGGAAGATATATGAATGGCCAATAATAAGGACATGAAAATGTGCTCAACCTCATCAGTCATCACAGGAATGCAAGTTAAAACCACATGGGCTAACATTTAATATCCGATAGAATGGGTAAAATTTAAAAGTCTGGTATTACCTAATGTTGGATAGGATGTGGAGCAACCAGCACACTTAGTCATTGTTGGTGCATGTGTAAAATGATTTAGCCACTCTGGAAAATGGTCGGAAAGTTCTTACATAGTTAGGCATACGACTTATTTATGATCCAGAAATTCCACTCCTACGTATTTACCCAAGATAAATGAAAAATATGTCCACAGAAAAAACACTTGTGCAAAATGTTCATAACAGCTTTATTCATAATAAATAAATACTGGAAACAGCCCAGATGTCCATCTATCAGAGCATGAATAAAACAAGTATGGGATATTCAAATAACAAATACTACCTAGCAACAAAAATAACAAATCACTCAAACATGCAACAACATGAAAAAAAAAAACACAAAAACAAACCCCAAACTCAAAAGCTATAGTGGGTGAAAAAAGTGTACAAAAGAGTAAACATTTTATGATTCTACTTATATGAAGTTCTAGAACAAGCAAAGCTAATCTATGGTGAAAATAATCAGAACGGTGGTTGTCTGTGTGGTAGTGTGGGCTGGGATCAGCTGGGAAGGAACACAAAGGAACTTTCTGGGATGATAGTAATGTTCTATAACTTGATAGAGGTTGGGTCATACAGATATGCATTTGTCAGACTCATCAACTATTGCATTTCATATTTTTGCTTTTCACTGAATGTATATTTTGCCTTAAAAAGGAACTATAAACAAATGTTAAACTCTAGTTAATGATATGCATGTCAAGGCATTTGGAGAGAAATATTCTGGTATTGCAAGTTACTTTGAAATGCGTTAGAAAATAAGATGGATTGATGGATGGATAGAAGGACAAATAGATGGACAGATACATGATAAAAGCAAATATGGCAAAATGTTAATTGCAAAAATCCACGTGGTTGGTGTATGGATGTTCACTGTAGAGTTCTTTCAACTTTTCCTCTATGTTTGAAAATTTTCATAATAAAATATTTTAAAAATAGCAAAATTAAGTATAATGAGAACTGATTATATATTACTGAATGCATTTCATTAAACAACCAGCTTAAACATAACTATATGACCACCACATGATAAATTACAAATAATATGTAGGTACACCTCATTTAGGGCTGCCTCAAACAGTGCTGATTTGATATAGTGATGATTATCTCAGAAATGTTTTTATGTCAAAAATACATATGCATGAACATACATTACAGTGCTGAGGACAATGGTAATATAGAGACTTTGCAGGGTCCGTCAGTAAGTGCAACAGATTGAGATCTATCAAATGCTTAGGCAGCCAGAGGTGGCGAATGGGTCTTGCCACCCATTTCTCTGGTTTGATCCATATAAGGGCTGATAAAGGTGTGCACGTGGGAGTGCTGGAGGAGCCACAGATGTACTAGGCTGGATGTGTAAAATGCTAATTTTCTGTAGTGGGTGATCTGATCAAGGAAATAAATGAAAAAATAAAGCCATCAGCCCATTAAGGCTTGTTGGAAATCCTCTCAAAAGAGAGGCAGTGGAGAGTATGGTTCTGCAGGCAGACTGTCTGGTTCCAGTCTGGGCACTGTTGTGTGTCCTTCGGCAAGTTAAGTAACCTCTTTGCCTCACTTTCCTCATCCATAAAATGAGTATGATCATAGTATCTACTTCATAGGGTTATTGTGAGAATAAAATAATTTAGTACATATAAAGCCCGTAGCACAACTCCTGATACTTAGTAAGAACTCAGTACATGTACCGTCATCATCTTTTTTTTTTTTTTTTTTTTTTTTTTTGAGACAGGGTCTCACGCTATTGCTCAGCCTGGAGTGCAGTGGCACAATCACAGCCCACTTCAGTCTTGACTCGTTGGGCTCAAACAGTCGTCCTGCCTCAGCCTCCCAAGTAGCTGGGATTACAGGCATGCACCACCATGCACGGCTAATTAGCTAATTAAATTAATTAATTTTTTTTTTTTTGTAGAGACAAAGACTTACTAGCTTGAAATCCTGAGCTCAAGCGATCCTCCTACCTTGGCTTCCCAAGGTGCTGGGCTTACAGGCCATGGCGCCTGGCTCCATCCTCATCACTGTTATGAAGGGCATCTGATGCATCAATTATTGCAGCCTGGGAGGAAGTAATTGACAAACATCTTAGTTGTGTGATAAGAAATTATGTCCATAGGCATGTCATAACTTCAGGGCCTCTGAAGGGAATGAAACTATAATCGCCAATTTACAATGTAGGAAATCCCCTTCCTGGGACTCCCGTGGTAATCTCCCTCTACAGTGCTGATTCGGTGATCCTACCTTTTCCAGTAATGCATCCCTCCCGCTACACGGAGTAAGCCTGGAGGTGTAGCTTCCCATACTAGATTTTTGGAAACTTCCTTAGCTGGGAGGCCAATCCTAATCTAGTTCTAGATCCTTTTCTTAGATCATGATTTTGTAATAAATACATATCTTTCTCTTGTGATCCCCTAGCATCAGCATTCACTTTCTTTTTTTGAGACGGAGTCTTGCTCTGTTGCCCAGGCTGGAGTGCAGTGGTGCGATCTCGGCTCACTGCAAGCTCTGCCTCTCAGGTTAACGACATTCTCCTGCCTCAGCCTCCCATGTAGCTGGGACTACAGGCGCCCACCACCATGCCTGGCTAATTTTTGTATTTTTTTTTAGAGACGGGTTTTCACCGTGTTAGCCAGGATGGTCTTAATCTCCTGACCTCGTGATCCGCCCGCCTCGGCCTCCCAAAGTGCTGGGATTACAGGCGTGAGCCACCGCGCCCGGCCTTGCATTCACATTCTATGTCTGGGGAATCTTGGGTGCATCTTGGGGAGAAGCAGGACCCACCTCATTACAGAGCAAAAAAATCAGGCATTTGTTCTCCCTCACAGCTTAAGTTTGGGTTTGCTAACGTCAGCCATAGATTCTCCTGCCCAAGAATTTGAATCCTCTGGGAGTTAACCTAAAGAAGCAGGGACGGTTCAGACTTTCTTAAGGTGATGGTGGTAGCTGTGGCATCCAGCATCCACAGGTGGTTGTGTCAGCAGTTTTAGCAGGGTTCCCCAAGTCGCAGGTGGTGGCAGTGTCAGGGGTGTCACCCAAAGTTCAGTGGTGACAGCTCAGCACCTAACCATGCATTCCTGGCATGTGGCCTTTGCAGGGGTTCTGGTTACCGGTATTTTCCTGCTTATATTTTGAGCCTGGTTCTTCAGCCTGTGTGTTGATTCTGTGAATTATCCAGTAGCTTTCAATGAATTCATTTTTCTCAGTAATTAGCCAGAGTTCATCACCATTGTTTGTCACGTGCAACCCTCCTTAATGCACTGGTTTTCTGTGATCCACTGATCCTGTTCTATACCTACTAGTACTACACCGTCCATTCCTTTATGTCACAGGAAATGTGTTGATTGTAGAAAAGTCTAACCTTTGTCTGTTGTAGTCCTTGAAATTCAATTTTTAAAATACAGGCTCCATGTATCCGGCCATAAGCAACTGTGTTTCTTGTCAGAAGTTTACTGTGTTGTACAGTATGCATTGTATTTATTCAATTCATGTCTATTGAACGTTTGAACATTTACCTTGTGCTAGGGAATGGCTAGGCTTTGGGGACACAAAGTTGAATAAAACATGGTCCCTTTTGCACATATTTAGAATTATAGTTGTTTAATTTGTTATATCATGGTAAGATGCAGGCAAACCAGTTTAGCCTCACTCAAGGGATGGTGGGGAAGCAAAAAGTCCAATTAATGGGTAGGAGTGAGGGTGGGGAAGGCAGTGTAACATGTTGTGTAAAATCTTTACCTGGAAGTTTGGTTAGCATTAAGTCATATTCAGGCTTTTAGTTGCTTTGCGAAATAGGACAAATTACTTAACCTATCTACAACCTCAGTGTCTTTATCTGTAAAGGGGTGATAATAATACCTACATCCTCACATTATTTTGAAGTTTAAATGAGATAATGAATATAAAGTGATTAGCACAATGCTTGGTCCATGATTAAGTGCTTAGTAAAATGGCAGCCATCTTCACATACTGAGATATGCTGCCTAAAGGGATTGTGTAACTTCTAGCTTAAGTACAGCTCTCAAGCACATAAACTGTGTCTTGAGTTCCATAATCTCCTTGGCTATTTTAGGCCTTCCTTTTTTTTTTTTTTTCCGTTTCTAGTCAGGTTCTATTATATTATTCTTAACATCAGTAGTCAGAAATGTATGTTTTCTTCCAGCATGGATCAACTACAGTTTTAAATAGAAGTGGGCAATATTTCTGCCTGTTTTTCAATATTCTACTTGAATCTGCTTAGTAGCATTTTAATTGATTTTTTTTTTGGCTGTAGTATGTTGAGGCAGTGTCCTCCAAGAAATATCCATGTCCTTTCCCTGCATTGACACAGTGTCTTAATATGAACTTGAGGATATTTTTTTCCCTCAATTGCATAAATATGTGCTTTACACACATTAAAACCTCTTTGCCTCTTTCCTGCTTACTCATGGGCATTTACCATTGCTTAATATAGAAGGCCTGACTTGTATGTTTCAAAAGAAACTCATGATGCATGAATCTCCCCTGTAGTAATTTTTTTCCCCATGAAGACCAAGAGAAATGGTTAATTTACCCAATTTGCTATCAGATCTCCCTGAGCATACCTCTTGTAGATCCTTATCATTTAATTGTTATTCAGATTATTCGGCCCACTTTGTTTTTAAAAAATATGTTATAAAAAGTGATTTATTGCTTTTGGGGTCCTTTTCAAAGTATTTCTCAAATGACATTTGGTCTAGTTTTCAATTTATGACTAAACTGCTATGTTTTGTGGACCTCATTGTTTTCCTTATACGGGCTAATTTTCTATTATTAAAAACTGATTTTTTTTAATCCTGTAATTGTTGTTTTGGACATCAAACAGGTGAAGTTTTTGTTTATTCTTGGAAGAGTTTTTACTTAAAAAATTTTTTTCTGAAGTACTCCCTTCTCAATCTTATATATAACTTCATTTTTCGTTGCGTGATTTCTGATGGGTTGTTTGAAAACAGTCTCCAGGTTTCTATCTCATTTTCCCTTTTCATTCACTTCTCTTCCCACCCCAACACCTGCATTTGCTTATGTTGAAATCAGCAGAAATGACACCAAGTAAGAGATAGTAGACTGAAGTTCTAGTGCCAGGATGGCTACAAAGTCACTGCATGGCTTTGGTTAGCTCATTCTGTTACAGGAAAGGGGTCCCGATCCAGACCCCCAGAGAGGGTTCTTGGATCTCACTCAAGAAAGAATTCAGGGCGAGTCCATAGAGTAAAGTGAAAGCAAGTTTATTAGGAAAGTAAAAGAATAAAAGAATGGCTACTCCATAGAGAGAACAGCCCCAAGTGCTGCTGGTTGCCCATTTTTCTGGTTGTTTCTTGATGATATGCTAAACAAGGGGCGGATTATTCATGCCTCCCCTTTTTAGATCATATAGGGTAACTTTCTGACATTGCTGTGGCATTTGTAAACTGTCATGGCGCTGGTGAGAGTGTAACAGTGAGGACGACCAGTATTCATACGTGTACCTGTGTGTACATATGTGGCCATATTGGTTTTGGTGTCTTTTGGCCGGCTTCTTTACTGCAACCTGTTTCAACAGTAAGGTCTTTATGACCTGTGTCTTGTGCTGACCTCCTATCTCATCCTGTGACTTAGAATGCCTTAACCATCTGAGAATGCAGCCCAGTAGGTCTCAGCCTTATTTTACCCTGCTCCTATTCAAGATGGAGTTGTGCCGGTTTACACACCTCTGACAATTCAACTGCTTTGGCTTCCAGTTTTTGCATCTGTGAAATTAGGGGAGTTTATTTATTTATTCAGCAAGAATTTATTAGGCACAGATTATATGCTAGAGACTGTGCCAGGTGCTAGAAAATCTACAGTGAACAAAACAGTGAAGGTGCTTCCCCTCATGAGACGTATATTCTAGTATTGTTAAATTATATAAACTCCAAGTATACAAGGCTGCATGTATACTTCTACGTAATTCCAATTCTCTTTGGAACAGAATAGAAAACAAACAAACAAGAAAACCCTGTAATATATCTAAAGTTTGGTTTTGGCTTTTTGGGTATTCCTTTGACTTAAAATAAAGATCTTATAGTTTGTCCTAAAGGGAATTCCATGGAAACCAGTGTGAGATGCTCTACCTAGAAAGGATTCAGGTTGAAAGCTGCATCCTCTATCCCCCTCTTCAAGTGAATCTTAAAATGCTTTTGGAAATATACTCCAGAACTCTGCTTTTTTTGAAGCACATTTAAAAAAGAAAAGAATTACTGGAATAATCTGACCTTTATTTAGATGTGGGAGTCAGCATCAGTGAAAGAGGAAATGAAAGCTTTTTTGGTTGCTGCCAATAAGACAATATTTATTGAGTTATAAGATTGTTTTCAGTTATAGAATATAAAGCTCTTTACTGGGATCAGTAGTAATTCATAGATGATGAAGAGCAAAAAGTATACATTTTATTATTTGGTGGATAATATAATATGTAAACGTAGGCCTTGGAGAAATAATGCTGCTGTTACACATCTAAACACATTTGCCAGAAAGTTATTAATGTTACAGAAATTATCACAATAGGAGTCCTCAAAAAGATATTTAAGCCAAGTCTTCTTCTCTCCCTGTATTTTCCATTTAATATAAAGTGGGCTATTTGTGGGGATGGTATATGCCAGGTAGTAAGAAAAGGCTGGACTTACATCAAGGTAATTTTGGAACTATTATCAGAATGGAGCCATCTAAAAGGAATGTTTATAACAGATAATGGTTGTCAGGAAAAATAAAATAGAATGAAATATGTAAATAAAGTGACAGAAAATAACTGATGAGCTAGTAGAAAACTCAGAAAACATTTTGCATGGAAATCAACCCATAACAGGGTTTTGCTTGATTTTATGGGAAACATTTAGATAGTAAATGTTAATTTTTATTGTTTCTCAAATTCATTCTTATCAAGGATAATTCTTTCTTCAACTCTCAATTACACTTATAATTTTTTCCTGTTCATGAGTTCATACTACATTTTCTTAATATCATGGCTCTAATTTTACTTTTCTTTCTAGAATAATTTTCTAGAATTTTCTAAAAATTCAGGAACAATAACCACTGTTACTGAGAGGAAGTAGGATCTAGTATTCCAAAATTTTTCATACATCTACATATGTGTACATATGTAAAAGTAGCTATAAAAATATAAAGTAATGCCAAAAGAAAAATGGGGGTAAGAGCTATTAATATTTCAGAGGTGGGAAAGATTACTTCTAAATTGGAGGAAAAGGTAAAATTTTGTGCATAAGACTTGTACTGGTCTTAAAAGATAGTAAAATTAGGGCATTCAGAGATGAAGCAGACACTTCCTAAGTGGGGGGAACAGTAGTGCTATATAGGAGAAAGTATATTGTCTTGAAGTTAACTGAACTTTGGTTCAATTTTCTCTAATTCTTAGTTTCATCTGTGAAAATGGGAGCGGTAACATCAAAACCTTGCTGCAGGCTTGGTGTAAGATGAAAATGGTATACTCAAGTGGAATTGCTTGGCAAAATTCCTGGCAAAAAGTGGGGTAGGGGGCTTTGACTAAGACCTCCTCTTCCTTTTTCATGTAAATATGAAGATCAGCCTCACGCCCCCTCCTCTACCCTGCCCCCACAAGGAGTTTGCTGGAGACTTAATCCTGGTTCCAGCATTTACTGCCTAAAGGACCTTAGACAACTTATTTAACCTCCCCCAGTTTCAGTTTTCTCATCTTTAAAATGGAGGCTGGGCAGGTGGCTCATGCCTGTAATCCCAGTACTTTGGGAGACTGAACGAGGCAGGAAGATCGCTTGAGCCAGGAATTCAAGAACAGTTTGGCAACATGATGAAACCCCATCTCTACAAAAAATATAAAAATTAGCCAGGCGTGGTGGCACATGCCTGTAGTCCCAGCTACTTGAGAGGCTGAGGCGGGAGGATTGCTTGAGCTTAGGAAGTCAAGGCTGCAGTAAGCTGGGATCGTGACACTGCACTCCAGCCTGGGCAAGAAGGCAAGACCCTGTCTCCTAAAAAATAAAATAAAAATAAAATGAAGATAATAATGGTACTAATTTCACAAGGTTGATGTGAGGAGTAAATGAGTTCACATGAGGTGCTTATAAAATATGTGGCACAAAGTATGTACTTTTTAACTATTATGATTTTTTTTTTTCCATAGGCACTGAGGAGCCAGTGGAGGGTTTTGAGATGGGTGTGAGGGGTGGGGTGGGTGGTGGGATGGGGCTGGGGGTTGCAGAGAGTAGCTTAATCTTTTCTTTAGAGGAATTGATCTGTTGGTGGTTTATAAATGGGAATTGTACGAATAGGAATTGGGTGGTGAAGGATTGAGGAGAGAATAAAAGTGGGGCAGACTAGTTAGGGGATTAATAAACACTTCTGTTCAGAGACATAAGGAGCCTGATGAATAATTGTGGCAGCAGGGACAGAGAGGGCTTAGACTAGAGATGTGCTTTTCAACCTTCAATGTGCCCATAAATCACCTAAGGATCTTGTGAAAATGCAGATTCAGGTTCAGTAGGTCTGGGTAGGGCCTGAGATGCTGACTTTATAAGAAGATGCAGGTGGTACCAATGATACTGGACCACACACCACACTGACAAGGGTTTTGAGGGTAGGATTGATAGGATTTGACAATTGCTTGGTCATGAGGGGAGAAGACAGAGGGCTCGTAGGTTTCCAATAGAAGGAGCTAAATTGAGAAGGAAAATAGTGAACTCAGGTTGACCTGCTAAGCTTGATTTCCTGAAACTGGAGTTGCAGGAGATAGAACAGTATAATGACAAAAAGATAGATTTATTGTCAGAAGACCTGGATTAAATCCTGGCTCTAACAATTATTAGAAAGATGACTCTGGACTCTTGCTGTTCTTCTTCCTTTCTAAAGGAGAGACCACAACGACTATTTAAAAGGACTGTTTATATGTATAGATTAATGGAAATACATTGTGAAAACCTCTCACATGTTGGCCAGCACATAGGTGGCACTTCCTGAGTGAATAAAAATCACATCTATAGACTTTATAGAATTTATAGATGAATCCAGCTCTTGGCAAAGCTGATCTGGGCTTTAACATATACGTTTTTCCTACCACATGCATACTGATACTTCAAATTGTACGATAATTTGACAGCCTTCTGAACTTTATGTTTTCTAAGTATTCATTAGCTGACATAATTTCAGGGGACTTGAATGCCTGGATTGGCAGCGGTTCCACCAGAGCTACATCCATCAGAAACCTGCAATTGTCAGATTCTTCCTTTTAAGGCACTTTTCCAGGAATAACTGTCTGAAGCAAAGAGGAAAATATCTGGTCAAACTCATTTATAATCATAGTCCAATAATGGTAAATGGCAGGCTGTGGGATAAATCTGTGGCCTTTCACTTACATTTCTAACCAGAGGCAGCATTATTGATGATTGAAGAATTAGTTCTTTGGAGCTTATCTACATCTTTAAGTTGGATATTTTAGACTGGTTGAAAGTAAATATTTTCCCCTTAAACTTAATCTGAACTTTCAAAGTGGCCCTTATGTCTGTCCCTATACATTACTCAATCAGTGAGATTTTAGAGATAAGGTTAAAGTGAAATGAACAAATATATTTATGACATACAAAGAGCGTATTAAGCCTACTAATAAGATAAGGGTCAAAAAAGAGGAACGTATAGCACATAGTTTACTTTGGAAGGCTTGCTAATAACTATTTGTAGTATTAACAAATTGTGGTTACACTATTATGTCATGGGACTATTCAAGAACTACCTCTTTTATTTCTTGTTCATAAAAGAGATCAGAAATCAAAAAATAAAAATAAGTTAAAAAAATTATAGGCCATATTATTAAGCTATTACCTCAAATATAATTGTGCTCAAGTCATCTAAAGTCTCATTAAGTTGTAATTGTTTAAAAACATCATATCCTTTCCAAAAATTAAATTACATCAAAAGATCCTGGTATGTTTTGGGCTCCACTGCAGGGACACTAACAGTGCAGATTTGGGGACTTATCTTCCTTGTCCCCAAATCTGTATCAGTTCAGTACATGGAAATTCAGAAACACATGTATGGATTGATTACTAAACAAATTATCTCAATTTCTACTTTACCTCTCTGCATTTTGTTGTTTCCAGTAGTCTCCATAGCTGGAACCCAACATTTTCATCAACTTCCCCCCCAAAAAATCCAATCTTTCAATACTGACAAGAGCTCCAGAAGAAAATCTCTCTTGCCAGAATTATTTTAATCTTGCTTGAGTGGTTGGCTGAAGTCCTTGCCAACCTATTTACCTTAGTTAATGCCACAGGTATATTTCTCTCAAGATGAATTCTAAGTGTGGTTGACTCCAGATTCAAAAAGGGAAACCCTCCATCTCCTGAAATTATAGAACCATTAAGGCTCTTAGATACCCCGCTCAAAATAATACCAAATTTCTTCTTAAATTGAAAGATGAAGTCTCAATCTAATAGTTTGCTTGCAAATGGAACTCGCTAGCTTTAAGTGTAAACAATTCCCTGCTGACAATTGCTATTAAAATGTTTGTTGAATGAGTGGATTCTTTTACCTATCTTATCTCCCCCAAAGAATAGCTGAGACCTTTGTGCACTGTTATCTAGATACATTATGTTTTTTCCATGCATCTCTTCCTGTATTCAGTAACTCCAACCATCATCTATCCAATAATCTGAGAGAGAAACCTGGGAGTTATCTCACAATCCTCCCTGCCCTTCCCATAGCCAGGCAATTCCCAACATCTTCTGACTTTTACATCCTAAATATGTATTGACTTTGTTCTCTCCCTTGATCTCTTCTTGTGCTATTTTAGCTTAGGCCCTCACATTTCTCTCTGGGCTTTGTAACAGTATCCCAAGGGCTTTTTCTGCCTCCAATCATGGCCTCCTCTGATGTACCCTTCAGAGTACCTTCAGAGTGAAAATGTATCTTTAAAACCCAAATTTTATCATGTAATTTCCTTTCCATGGCTCTTCATCATCCACAGTAAAAAAAAGTCCAAGCTTCTTGGTATAAAATCCAAGGCCTCCCATGATCTGGCTTTTACAAGCCTCCCAGGTTCATCAGGTTAGCTCCTATCTGCTGCTCATTGTTTCATGTTGCAAAGGGGTGCCTCAACCTTGGCGCTATTGCCCTTTTGGGTCCGATAATTCTCTGTTGTGTGGACTGTCCTGTGCATTGTAGGATGTTTAGCAGCATCCTTGGCCTCTGCCCACTAGATACCAATGGTATTCTCTTCTTCCAGTTACGTCAACCAAAAGGACAAAACCTCCAAACAAAAAAACTTCTGATACTTCAAAATGGCAATTGTTTTTTGTTTGTCATAACTGGACGAAGGGAATACCATTAGTATCTAGTAAGCAGAGGCCAAGGATGCTGCTAAACATCTTACAGTGCACAGGACAGTCCATACAACAAAGAATTATCGGACCCAAAATGGCAATACCCTTATACACATAAGGGTATAACCCACTCTTCAATTTTTTTAAAAAAATTACCCAATTAATACATGAATCCATGCTTGTAAAAATCCAAATATAGAACATTATAATAACATCACTTTTAATAAGAATTAAAAGTGAAAGCTTTCAAGAGTCAAAGCATTATGATTAAAAAGGTTTTTTTTGATACATACTACTCCAACATTATCACCATCAGACATCCTCTTCCTTTGTGGCCATGGCCCCTTGGGTTTCCAGGGTTGTGTATAGAGGATTGAGGTTAGGTTGGTTGGCTCATCGAAACATCTGAGCCTATTGACTTCATGAGGCTTGCCAGGATTATTGGTACAGGTGATTTACGTTTCAGACCTACCTAGCTCAAAAAATTTTCAACAAAGTTTATATAGGCCATTTGCTTCTTCCATGTTACTGTCCCTTCTCCAATCCTTACAGTTCTTTTCCCTTCCCTCCCTGTAAAAATCCACAACCCATACAAATCAGACGTATTATCAAGAAAGAGAGATCTCTGACATTTTGTGATGTACAATGGTTACCAAACATTAGTCTCTAGATGAATCCCAGAGATTCTGCTTCACAAGGTCAAGGATGGGTCCTGGGATCTGTGTTTTTACCAGCTCCCCTCCAGATGAGTCCGCTGTGCAGTCTAGTGTGGAAGCCAGTGACTAAAGAAGTCCAAACTAAAATGGAAAATGATGCATCCAGGTACCCAACATTTTGACAGCTGAGCATGCCACTTCGCAATCATATGGATTCGGTGTCTAGTATCCACACTTTGTAAATTCCAAGTTATACAAATCTTTTATAGCAGATGGAGGAAAAGATGTCTCTATATGCTTATGTCCTAAATACTAAGCAGGTCTTCAAAACAAACCAGGTAAAGTGGAAATACCTGCAAAAACTCTTTTTTAAGATAACAGAAACATGCCTGATGGTGGGGAAATTGACTATTTTCATAAAGGTTTCAGTTAGGGGAACAAAGGGTAAGAGAAATCCTTTCCACACAAATTTAAATCTAGGGACCCTGTCCCTTAAAGAGGGAATTTAAAAATAACCCTTTTTTTCTAGTCATGTTGATTATTATTCTTTATAAACCTTCCTCACCAGTTTGGATTGCATGGAAGGTCACTAAGGATGATGGGGTAAAGCATTCCTAGTAGTAGAAACAAAGATGATGGAGTAGACTATAAAAATGCTTTAAAAACTCTAATTGAGACAAACCTGAATACAAAATTGTATCTGTGCTATGATTGCAACTATAAAAATTCTGTCTGCATATGGACAGGGACTGAAAGGGAGCATGAAAAAATGTAAACAGTTTGGTTTGTAGGATGGCAGAATTTTGGGTGGATTTTCATTTATTTTATTTTGAATTTTGCTAATGTTTTTATAATGTTTTGTAATAAACAATACTATAAAAGGAGCAGCTGAACCTGCTGACTAATTATTGTTAGAGTAGCTTAGCATCAACTGTATCAGAGCTAAAATTGCTGCTTTTGGCAAACGCTCTCCAACATTTAAGTTGATAATATCAGATAACCTTAACCAAGAAGTCAACTCATTCTGGTCCATAGGAGCATTTTTTTCACCCTAGCTAACTCATTCTGACAGGCATACCAGGTATTACTTCAACTGGGGTCATAATCAGGGTGGATTTTTTTTTTTTTTGAGACAGGTTCTCGTTTTGTTGCTCAGCTGGAGTACATTGATCATGGCTCACTGCAGCCCCGACCTCCTGGGCTTGAGTGCTCCTCCTGCCTCAGCCTCCCATGTAGCTGGGACTACAGGCATGTACCACCATGCCTGGCTAAATTTTTAATTTTTTTTGTAGAGATCCATCTCACCATGTTGCCCAGGCTGATTGAGGGTGTTTTGTTTTGTTGTTTTTATTTTAAAAAATAATTGAAAAAGTTGACTGTATACCTTCCCTAAGAAAGGTCTCAGACCAAATCATCTTCTGTAATATAGTAAAAAATTCAGGATCCTCAAAAGAGCGTTTGTCTAAGTATGTGAGTGGATTCAAATTCCATTTTGGAGGAAATACTGTATCACCTGCAGGAACCCCTGCAGCTTATCTGTGTGCAGAAATAGAATGGCAAGAATACAAGTCAGGTTCTTAAAAATTTGACAACAGAATGTCAGCTTCACTTCCTGCACATCTGGTGTTTAAAGCATATGGATAATCAACAGCATAGACTATTGGCACTTCAGGCACTTGTCAGCGAATTCAATCCTGAAGTGACTCATAACCATGTGCTTGACAAAGGCTCACCTAAGACATATAATATCGGAGAGAGACAATTTAATGGACAAGCCATCTTTCCATATCTCTTCTCTAATCTCTATTCAAGAAATTTGTTATTGTATCAGGAAGCAACATATCTGGACTGGATTACCTCTGTTCCTGATAAAAATGCTCTCACTGAGTTAGAAATTTAGTATTATGCTTTGAGCCTTTATCAGAATCAATACAGGAATTTTCCACTGGAACGATGATTTTGCATTTTTTTGCAAATAGCGTTGCTGAGGAAGTTGTGCCTTACATTACCTAAAATCTATTATGAAAAATTACATGATAAATTTCTTCTGGATTTAGTACATTAGCTTTTCTTTGCTTGTAACATAGACATACTGTGTGGTTTTCTTTGTGCCCTAGCTACCGGGAAACTTGTGCTTAACTCTCCCTGATACTCTTCTCTGGCAGTTTCTTACATATCAGAGAAATTGACATGCTCAGAAAGAGTTGGGCACGGGGAGAAAGATGCCATTTGGTGCCCATTCATTTGCTTTGCTTGTTATGGCTATGTAGGTACAATGCTTCCAACTTTAATGATCTCATCAAAAATTTTTTCTCCAAGAATTTGTTGTTCCTAAAGTGCTAGATTTTCTTAAAGGAAAAAAATGCATTTCATTTTCTATAAATATCGAAATTAATTACTCATCGTTATAACTATTCATTAAAATTCAAAATTAGATAAGAATGTTCTTCATAGACTTTTTTTAAGCCTTGAAGAGATCCGTTTTATTATAGCATCGACAGCTCCACTATTTAAGGAAATCATGACATAAGGTTCCTAATTGAATTAAGCCAATCCCTTTGCCCAAATCCTAAGAAGAAATTAGTGAAAGATGGTAGGTAAAACTATGGTGGTTTGTTAGGTGGAAAGAAAAGTGTGAGCAACTGATAGAATTGTTTTTGTAGATCTCACCTCTACAAACATATTGAGAACAGATTCGTTCACTAGTTGGGAACATATTTGTTCGTTCACTCATTTATTCTCTCAGTCATCCAATATGTGAGTCTAATCAATCTTCCAAGGACCACTTTGGGTGTGAAGCATACATCAGTAAACAGAACAGACAGAACTCTCTGCCCTTACAGAATTTATGTCTAGTAGGGGAGACAGTCAATAATAAATAAATAAATAATACATGGTGTGACAGTTGGTGTTCAGTGCTATGGAGAAAAGTCAGGTAGGTAAGGGGGAGAGAGGGTGCACTGGGTGTGGGGGTGGAATTTGCTATTTTAAACAGTGTGATCAGGTGGCATCTGAGCAGAGATCGGAAGGAGGGAGCTATGTGAGTCTCTCCGGGAAGAGTTTCCATGCGGAGGGAACAGTTTGTGCAGAAACCCCAAAGCAGGTGTGTGCTTGGTGTGTTTGAGGAAAGTGAGGAGACAGGTGTGGCAGGAACAGAGTATGAGAGCAGAGTAGTGGGAGGCCATGGAGGTAGCCAGATCACATAGGCCTTTTTAAAGGGCTTTCTAAACGAGATGGGAATAATTAGAGAGTTGGAGCAGAGGAGTAATATTATCTGACTTACATTTTAAAAGCATCATTCTGGCTGCTTCGTGGAGAGTAGAGTGTGGTAGGAGAATGGAGGAAGAGTGGAAGCAGGAAACCTAGGCAGGAGGCTACTTTAATAATCCAGACAAAAGGTGATGGCCATCTGGGCATGGGTGGTAGTGGCGAAGGTGGGAAGAAGTGGTAAGATTCTGGATATAATTTGAAGGTAGAGCCAGTAGGATACCTGATTGTTAGGACAGGAGATATGAAAGAAAGTTTTTGGTCTGAGCAAGAGCTTCAAAGAAAGCAAAAGGTGGAGTTACCATTTACTAGATGAGGAGGGCTATGAGAGGAAGATCAAGAGCTTGGTTTTGAACAGATTAAGTTGGAGATGTCTAAGTGGTGTTATCTAGCAGGTAGTTTGATAATATAGACATCAGTTGAAAATTAATGTTACATTTTTAATACTAATATTATAAATAAATTACTTTTAAATGTATAGATAATATATTAATAGTAATATAGTTAGATATGAATAATATTTGTAGTACTATATTGTAAAAGGGTCACTGACAAATTAAATGTATTTTAAAGAGGATGACTGAGATAGCAAGGGCAGGAAACTATATTGGACAAAGAATCATTGAAGGAACTGGAGATGTTTAGCATGAAGAAGAGAAATCCTATGGTAGATGTATCTGTTTTTATGCTGAAAAGGCTAGTGAATTTCACCTGTACTTCTCTGGGATTAAAAGAAGTTACAGGAAGCCAGGTTTCAGGTCAATGTAAGAGATCTAGAAATGCGCATGTATGTGTATAAAAAATATATATAGTGTGCACACACATATATGTTTACAAACAGAATTTTCATTTTCCCCTATAGCAGGGAAGATTCTCTTCTAAAATAGTGGATTTCTTATTGCTGAAAGTATTCGACTAGAGAGTTGCTGAGAATATTGTAGAGACAATTGGATGGAAGTTAGACTTGAAGGCCTCTAAGTTTCATTCTTTTTGTTTCTGTGTATTTTTCTTTGGGACTGAAGCATTCCATGTACCAGTACATCATCAGGAATATTCTTTCTTGTGTTGTATTTTAAGATTTCGCGGTCTATGACTTCCTCCTAAATTAGACTATAAACCCCTTGAGGACTGGAACATGTTTTATCCTCTTTGTAATCCCTGAAGCACTTGGCACAAACTTTTGTGTAACAAGTACTCAGAAAAATACTTTGCTGGTTGAATAATTTTGTTTCCAAGGCATCCCTCCTTCTCTAAAGCATAAACACTACTGGAATGAGAAACTCGTACCCAGCTTAACACTTTAGTGTGGCTGAAATAGCAGAACCAGTTTAATCCTTGGAATTCTGAGGGTCTGGATTTGGGGAGGTTGTTAAATGAGGAGGAGAAGAAAATTTACCGACATCACACCTTTGCCGATGGCTGATGCTGCTTCTGTATAATGTCTACCTGACAAGTATAAAGTCTACTTGTCAAATATTGTGGTACTGGAGTATTAATAATATATTTTAGAGTGCTAAATGTCTGAATGATACGTTAGTGGCTTCAAAGAATCAGACAACATCCAAGATAGTTACTTTTTCTGCTTTCAGAGGGTACTTCCAATAGTGAGAGAATCTCATTAATTCATGTCTATAGACTTCACAGAAAATTGTTCAATGAGTTCCTTGTCACAGAAAGTGTTAAGTTAAAACATTAATAATCAGACTCCATACATCCACCCTCCTGCCCATCCATCCATGCATCCATGGGTCCATGCATCCATCCATCCAACAAACATTTATTGAACACATACTATGGACTAAACACTGAGAATTTCAATGAAGGACTATGATCTTGAGAAGTTCAGTTGAATATCTAACATAGAACACTGTGCTAAATTCTTTACAGTGGCAAAACAAAGTTCCATGAGATCAGAG